>NW_016107307.1:0-166713 GCF_000001405.40 Homo sapiens
GAATTCCCCATGAGTCCTGTGACCTCAGCCCACACGGGGACCTACAGGTGCTACGGCTCACTCAGCTCCGACCCCTACCTGCTGTCTCACCCCAGTGGCCCCGTGGAGCTCGTGGTCTCAGGTGAGGGCGCTGACCCTGTCCTCTCTGAGCTCAAAGGCTCAGCTCAGGCCCTGCCCCCAGCAGAGCTCTGGACACTAAGGAAAGAGGGGAGTGAAGGGAGAGGGTCCGCAGGGGAGGGTCCAGCCCATGGGAAGATGGAAATAGACAGGGACCTCCCACCCCTGGCTCCCACCCCTGAAGTCTCAGTAGAGTAAAGTGCAGGGAGGGCTGGGAGGAGACGGGGGGTGAACCTCAAAGGAGTTGAGATTAGACTGAGGGTGGAAGACGGAGGCCCCACCTGCTCCCATCCTGGTGTCTCCACCTCAGAATCAGAGCCTCTGTGTCCCAGTCCCCAACAGACGCCCTCCTGGAGAGAGAAGCATCCAGGCTGCCGGTGCCACCTGCATCCACCCCCGACCCCCCCCCACCCCGCCCCACTTCCTGCTTTCCCCTGCAGCCTCCCCAGCACTCAGCGCACACCTGAGCCTCACAGGGACTTGCACGTGCTCCCGCAGCAGCTCAGGGAATGTGCACCGCTCCTCTTCTGCGCCGTTGACATTTTTTATTTGGGTTTTTAAAATCTCATATTGGCCTTTTTGTCCAAGCTGGTGAAAGTAGATTTGCAGCATCACCTATTTTTATTCTCACCCGGTTTCGTAATAGCCCTGATCTCACGTGCTCCCTGAGGTTTTGTAAACTTCAGGTAGAAATGTGGACTTCCTTCGTTCTGGACATTTGCTATGGAGGGGGTAGGGCTTATCTTTTCAGAAAAAGTCAAATGACTGGTACCACTCCTTGAAACCCTACAGCACTTTCCAGACCTCAGAGGGAGGGAGAGAGAGGCAGAGACAGAGACAGAGAGACAGAGAGAGAGATATTGGGGCCGCTCTTTCCTGGCCGGTTCATCCTGGCCTATTCTCAATCCACCAAGGCCCCGAAGCTCATCTCCCCTCCTCCTCTGCCTCCTCCTCCACCCTGTAGACAAGCGGCCATTCCTTTCTGAAGAACAGGCTGAGACCTTTCTGGGACCTGCTCTTTCTGGAGCCTCTGTTGCTCCCTGTCTGGGTCTCCACACGCCTCCTTCCTGGCCCTTTTTCCTATTGAGGAATCAGCTTCAATGTCACCTCCAAGTGTGACCTTCACTGACGACACAGCTCAGCCCAGTCCTGCCTGCTTCTCATTTATGTCAAGTAATTAACCAACCTACACCATGCGGCTGAATTCCTTCTCTCTCTCTTCCACTCTCTGCATATACGTGTGTGTGTGTGTGTGCGCGTGTGTGGTCACACCAACATCTTACGTGACATTGAAACCTAGTTATCCGTATATCTATACAAATAATATATATTCACACATAAATATAGGTCTCTACCAATATATCTAAAACCATTGCTACGACTAGTAAATTTCCACTGCTGTGTTTCTATATGTTTGCTGTTTGTCTCCAGGTGAACCCACACTTCAAGAAGGCAGAGATAGTTTTTAAGGCCCACTATATATATAAAACAGATATATATTTGTGTTTGTGTTTTTCTGTGTGTGTATCACATTCTACCTGTTGCTGCCTATACGAATAATTAGCTACCTAGAGATTAAATGGACAATGAAACTCCAGGTGAAGTGGCTGAGGGCATGAAGGGGAGGCAGCCCCAGAATTTCACCCCTTTGTGCTTCTGACATTGAGGCTCCCCTGATGACTAACCCTCATCCACGGAGCCTGGGTCCTCAGCTGGTGGATCCGTGAAACTCTCATCTCCGGGGGAGTTGGCTCATGTTCTCCTGTGTCCCAGGCTGCACAGAGAGCACACAGGCCTTAGTGACCTCTGTACTGGGGACCACTTTCCTTGCAGATCCTGAGCTCTCAGGATGCAGGAAAACTCTCTCCCAGATGACTCAGGAGCAATGTTTAAATCCATAGAACACAGGAAAACTGAAATCGTTCAATGAGGAGACTAGAGGGAATCCTGCTAGCGGAGGAAGAGGTTTTTTTTTTTTTTTTTTAGAAATTCTGTAAAAGTCACATCATGAGACATTAAGTAATAAAAAAAAAATTGCAGAGCCCAGGTGAGAGGCTGGGCTCAGGTCTCTTTTTCTCTGTTTTGATTCTCTGGAGCAGCTGATACCCTCAGCCCATCACAAAACAAGTCTGACTCTGAGACTGGTATGTGAGGAGATACTCTCAGTGATGGGGCTGGCACTGAGGGTTGGGTCCTGTGAAGGGGAGGTGGGTGCCCTGGGTGGACAATCTGATCCACCCTGACCTCTGTGACCTCTTTGTCCACCATCCCCAGCCTCACACCTTCAGGATTACGCAGTGGAGAATCTCATCCACATGGGCGTGGCTGGCTTGATCCTGGTGGTCCTCGGGATTCTGTCATTTGAGGCTTGGCACAGCCAGAGAAGCTTCCCAAGATGCAGCCGGGAGGTGAACAGCAGAGAGGATAATGTACTTTATAGAGTCGTGAAGCCTCAGGAACAGATCTGATGATCCCAGGAGGTTCTGGAAGAAAATCTAGGGCCGATGCTATCTGGACTGTCTGCTGGTCATTTCCAGAGGAAGGAATCAATGTCCGAGTGCAGGGACATTTTCTGGGGTGATCCATGGAGAACCATTAAAATGTGATACCTTTCCTCTCCATTAATGTTGACTTTCCTTGGTTGGATCTGCCTCTTTTCCCACACTTAGACATGAGGCTCCATCCCACATGGCAGCGTTGGGTCCACACCTCTGCACACCTGCATGCTCTGGTCCATGGCGTGTCACACAGTCCTCTTCATTTCTCATTGCCACACTTCCTGGTGTACTTTACTGGGTCTTCATGTCTTCAGTTCAGAGTTCCGCACCTGGTTTAGGAACTAATTCAACGGGAGAAGATCAGAGTCCGACCAGGAAAAGATAAATGCACCGTGATGCCCTCACCTCCTGTGTGGACCCTATGAGCTCTTCCCTCCTTATCAGATGCTATCTGTGTAGTTTCTCCTGAAATATCACCACCTGGAATCAACACACTGGCATTTGAAGTCACGACCCAATGGTATGCTAATTCTGAAAAAGACATTTTTTGAAATGCTATGATTAGTGGCATTTACCAATTTCCTTGACGTAAATTCTTTTTTCATGGCCATAATCAAGATGCCAACGAGACATCCCTGAATGCAGGGTTGGGAAGCGTTGGACAGACTTGTCTTCACTCATAAGCACCAGGCATCTGATAGCTCACGTATACATCTTATTACCTTCCATTTTAGAGTGAATAATCATTTCTACTTCAGTATTTTGGCACAGGTAAAAGCAGTCCCATTACTGCGCGTATACCCAAAGGAATATAAATCATTCTATTGCAAAGATACATGCACACATGTGTTCATCGCAGCACTATTCACAATAGCAAAGACATAGAATCAACCCAAATGCCCATCAATGATAGACTGGATAAAGAAAATGTGAGACATATACACCACGGAATACTATGAAGCCATAAAAAGAAACAAGATCATGTCCTTTGCAGGGACATGGATGGAGCTGGAAACCATTATCCTCAGGAAACTAACACAGGAACAGGAAATCAAACGCTGCATGTTCTCACTTACAAGTGGGTGCTGAACAATGAGAATGCGTGAACACAGGGAGGGGAACAACACACACTGGGGCCTGTCGGGGGGGGGGTGGGGTAGGGGTAGGGAGAGCATTAGGAAAAATAGCTAATGTATGCTGGGCTTAATACCTAGGTGATGGGTTGACAGGTGCAGGAAACCACCATGGCGCACATTGACCTATGCAATAAGCCCACACATTCTGCACATGTACCCCGGAACTTAAAATAAAAATAAAAATTAAAATTAAATTATGACACCATGATCCTAGCATATCCAAAAAAGACAAAAATGCCAATATCAAATGTCGGAGAAAATAGGGCTGAATTAAAAATCCAATACAACGCCGGGCGCAGTGGCTCACGCCTGTAATCCCAGCACTTTGGGAGGCCAAGGTGGGTGGATCACTTGAAGTCAGGAGTTTGAGACCAGCCTGGCCAAACGTGGTGAAACCCTGCCTCTACTAAAAATACAAAAATTAGCCGGGTGTGGTGGCACTCGCCTGTAGTCCTAGCTACTAGGGAGGCTGAGGCAGGAGAATCACTTGAACCCGGGAGGCGGAGGTTGCAATGAGCTGAGATCATGCCACTGAACTCCAGCCTGGGTGACAGAGCGAGACTCCGTCTCAAAAAAAAAAACAAAAAAAAAAAACCCTCAAAAGCTCAGGCAGCAAAAGCAAAAATAGGCAAATGAGATCATAGCAAACTGCAAACCTTCTGCACAATCAAGGAAACAAACAGCAGAGTGAAGAGACCACCTACAGAATGGGAAAGAATATTTGCAAGCAAGAGATTAATCTCCAGAAAATACAAGGAGCTCAAACAATGCAGAGGTTTTGAAGGATGGTGATGAGAAGGTTCTGCTACTTACAGAAAGGAAGTTTAGGAGAAACAAAACCACAAACCTAGGTGGTGGGATGGCTTGATCTGCTTCTGTCTGTGACTCACTTAACAGTCTTAAACACATCTCCCTAAGCCTCCTTCCCCCGGTGGGATTCCTGGGTCTTGTGAGGACCTCATCGGTCCCTCTGGTAAACCCAGGCACAGAGTGGAGCAGCTCTTGTTTTCTCAGGATCTTCCCCTTCACATACAATTAACGCACCCACACGATGCTACTCTTAGAACCCTTCAAATAAATGTTTCCCGGTTCATTCACTACCAGAATCCAAGCTCAGCTTGTTCCCCAGCTTAGGACTGAGTGGTATCTTGGAGGTAGTTTCCACCATAGCCCCCTTCCTCTGCTATAAGGCTCAGTGACACACCAGAGACACCCCCTCCAGCCAGGCTCCTGGAAGGTCTGGATGAAGACTGGGATGCTGAGGCATTGCTCAGCAATGTGGCTTAACTCAAACTTCTATGTGAAACTTCCAACCACTTTCAGCAAGGGGTCACTTCCAGCGTCTTGGGGTGTGAGGGCACTTTGGTTGGTCCCTGCAATATCAGACCCTATAAAGATCCTACAAACATGTTGCAGACTCTTTGAAGATTCTGGCACTTTCAGACATGCTGTTGGGAAATGGTGACACCCATAACCTTCTAGTTCCAGGACAGGGAGCCTTAGCCCAGGGCTATGTTTTCTGAGGGTCCTCAAAGTAAACAGTTCTATGTGCCAGGAGAACCCTAAATCTCATATGGTTCTAAGGGCAGAAAGCCACACACGCACCGGCAAAAAGCAAGAGATTCAAGGAAAAGCTGAGCAAAGACAGACAGGAAAACACACACATGATGAGCCAGCTTGTAGAGCTAGAACTGAGATGGAGAGAGGCACGAGTGGGTAACAGAGTGTGCTCCCCAGAACAGGTGGAGAGAATGCCTTTTTCATGCCCTGAGGATAGGCTGGGTAAGGCTTGTGCTCGACAGTCAAGGACTATTTTTTTCCCCAGGCGTCTACAAGAGACCTTCCTTCTCAGCTCAACTGTGCCCTGCAGTAAGTAATGATGGAGAGAATGTGACTTTGCTCTGCAGCTCTGGAAGCTCATTTGACCTGTGCCTTCTAACGAGGAAGGTAAGGCCCCTGGACACTGGCTCACTGGGGTGCAGAGACAGAGTGGGGCATTCAGGCCAACTTCTCTCTGGGTCTTGGGGCTGGTGATGGGACCTCTAGATGCTGCAGCTCTCTGTCGATGGCTCTGCCTGTGAGTGATCAGCCCTAGATGACCACTGTTACTGGGGGTAGCCCATGCCTGCTGCATGCCCTGTGAAACACTAAATCATATAGCCACGTCTGAGGGACAGCCTGCTGGAGACATGGGAATCTTAGGGATTCCAGACAAAATGAAGCAATGAGAAACACAAAGAGGAAAAGAGAGGTTGAGTATGACAGTGGTGTCAGGGTGTAGGGTGGTAGACAGGGCAGCTCCACACTCTCCACTGCTTCCTGTCTGGAGGCCCACTTTGGGGTCCTACTTATCCAGGTGAGTGAAGGAAGAGGTCAGGACAAACACAGGAGGTGAAGCCAGATACAGTGTGGGGAGATAAGCAGTGGCCTCAGCCTCTAGCCCTTTTCCATCTTCCAGAAGCCCCTCCTGAGCTCTCATCACAGACAGATTTCCCATTTGGAAACCCAGATATTTATCATGCCGGGGGGGGGAGGCAATGTCTCTTGATTATGGGGACTTTCCATCACCAGGCACCTGCTAGTCCTCTCTATACCTTCCCTTCAGGAAAGGAATTGTCCCTCATGGGATTCCAGGGAAGAGACCCCAGGACCCCTATCAGTCACTAGGGAGATGACAGAGTAGAGGAAGTCAGGGGACCAACCCTCCACAGAGAATGGTCCTACTTCAGTGGGGTGAGGGAAACTCTCACTCATCCATTTGCTGTCCTGTTACCTCGGAACCCTAAGAGAACTTGTTAGTCACACACAGAATCTACCCCTGAATGTGGTGTGCAAAGTGGGGCTCTTAGCCTCCAGTGTGAAGTCCCTGGGAAGATGGAATGTCCCTGTGTGAGTGAAGGCTGTGCCACCGCCCAGCTATGTGGCCTTGGGCTAGGCAACCCCTCCCAGGTCCCCAGTTCCCCATCTGCATCGGAGACTGTGGCCAGTGCGGGAATCCACAAGGCCCTTCAGCCTCCAAAGCTCTGGGACAGAGGCCTCGTCCACAGGGAGGAAGGGGTCAGAGTGACCTGAGTCCCTACTCAGGAGCGAGTCTAATCCACTCTCCATCGGGGCCTGTGGGGAAGGGAAGATGAAGAAACGGAGCCTGCACCTGGCTATGTGGGCGCAGTAGATTAAGGGGAGGATGAGGGTTCCTGAGAGTGTGTCATGTGGCAGAGACCCTGCAGCACACTCAGGAAGGGCTCTGGAAGGATCCAAGGAAATTTTCCAAGAAGAGGGCAGAGTAAGTGACAGAGACCCTCAACCATGGATTTCACTGAGGTGCCCATGATGACATAGGGAGAACGGGGGTGTCTGGGCAGGAAGAATATCGTCAGGGTGAAATGAATGGTGATGAGCTTCGTGTCAGAGCTCCTGTGGAGGGAGGGGCCTGGCCCACATGAAAAGGTCTCTGATCCTACCCCAGCCCCCAGCCCCTGTTCTCCAGGATGACACTGTGGGAATTCCATCAGGAGGGGTGTGATAGGGCTGGTCTTCCTGGCTCGATTCACAACACTGGCTGGGGACTGGGAACCCATGGGGAGCCACAGGTGGAAAGGGAGGAGCCTCAGTGAACCCAGCAGGAACAAACATAGGGTCTGACATGATGGAACTCACTTCCTGGAGGCCAAGAAAGACACTTGCGGGACAAAAGGGAAAGAGCGGTGGCTTGCTTAGTTCCATTCACTGACAACCCACAGGAGATGTCCAGTCCTTTTTTGATTTATTATTTTATTTTATTATATTTTATTTTATTTTATTTTATTTTCACATGGAGTTTTGCTCCTATTGGCCAGGCTGGAGTGCAATGGCACGATCTTGACTCACTGCAACCTCCACCTCTCAGGTTCAAGCGATTCTCCTGCCTCAGCCTCCTGCATAGCTGGGATTACAGGCGACTGCCACCACAGCCAGGTAATGTTTGTATTTTTAGTAGAGATGAGGTTTTGCCATCTTGGCCAGGCTGGTCTCAAACTCCTGATCTCATGTGATCCGCCTGTATCAGACTGCCAAAGTGTTGGGATTACAGGCGTGAGCCACCACACCCAGCCTTTTGTATTTTTAGTAGAGATGGGGTTTCACCATGTTGGTCAGGCTGGTCTTAAACTCCTGACCTCAGGTGATCCATCCACCTCGGCCACCCAAAGTGCTGGGAGTACAGATGTTAGCCACCGTACCCAGCGAGAGTTTCAGTGCTCTATCGGATTCCCTGCCTACTCCATGTTGCATGTAATGTTCCACCTCAGGGATGTTTCTCTCCTTTCTGTCTCCTTCCTCTTCTCCTTCTCCTTTTTTCTTTCTAATTTTTATTTTTTTGAGACAGAGCCTTGCTCTGTTACCCAGGCTAGAGTACAGTGGCACGATCCCAGCTCACTGCAACCTCTGCCTCCTGGGTTCAAGAGATTCTCCTGACTCAGCCTCTCAAGTAGCTGGGATTACAGGCACCCGCCATCACACCCAGCTAGTTTTTGTATTTTTAGTAGAGACGAGGTTTCACCATGTTGGCCAGACTGGTCTTGAACTCCTGCCCTCAGGTAATCCACCCGCCTGTGGCCCCCCAAAGTGCTGGGATTACAGGCGTGAGTCACCACTCCCAGCCCTGAATGATCTTTCCTCTTTAGTGTGTTCTCACAACCACCTCTCACTGAGCTTTCTTGTTTTTTGTTTTTGTTTTTGTTTTTGTTTTTGTTTTTGGCAGAGTCTGGCTTTGTTGCCTATGCTGGAGTGCAGTGGTGCAATCTCAGCTCACTGCAACCTCCGTCTCCTGGGTTCAAGCGATTCTCCCACCTCAGCCTCCTGAGTAGCTGGGATTACAGGCACCCACCACCACACCCAGCTAATTTTTGCATTTTTAGTAGACACAGGGTTTCACCATGTTGGTCAGGCTGGTCTCGAACTCCTGACCTTGTGATCTGCCAGCCTCAGCCTCCCAAAGTGCTGGAATTACAGGCATGAGCCACCACTCCCAGCCCTGGATTATCTTTCCTCTTTAGTGTGTTCTCACAACTACCTCTCACTGCTGGGTTTTCTCTCTTTCTTTTTTTTTTTTTTTTTTTTTTTTTTTGAGACAGTCCGGCTTTGTTGCCCAGGCTGGAGTGCAGTGGCGCGATCTCGGCTCACTGCAAGCTCCACCTCCCAGGTTCAAGCGATTCTCCCACCTCAGCCTCCCTAGTAGCTGGGATTACAGGCGCATGCCAGCACACCCAGCTAGTTTTTGTATTTTTAGTAGAGACAGGGGTTTCACCATGTTGGTCAGGCTGGTCTTGAACTCCTGACCTTGTGATCTTCCTGCCTCGGCCTCCCAAAGTGCTGGGATTACAGGTGTAAGCCACTGCACCCAGCCAGCTTTCTCATTCTTATCCCTTAGTTCTCTGCCAGGGAATAAGATAGAAACCATTCCCTCAACCACATTCTAGTCATGGTCCCTATTCTCATGTTTCCACTTCTCTCTCTTTGGTAATAAATCAATTAATTGAGAAACAAGTAGCTAAATGTTCATCTTCTGCTAGTCTGCATCCCCTTATTTTCCCAGAGCCTCCCCTAATGAAACTGACTTTATTTACTGAACGCAGGAAATGGGTCTCTCCAGATCAGGATGACTTTCTGCTGGGAAATATTTGTCTTTGCATCAGTGGGGAAAAAGAAAGCCGATGTCATGAGTGGAGGCTCTGAGAAAATAAGGGCTGTGTTTTCAGTTTAGACCCAGCTAAGTTGGGAGCTGACATAGATATGATGTTGGGTCCACCCTCCACGGGCAGGTTTTCAGACAAAGGATCCCTGGCAATCAGGGGACACCTCAGGTCTGGGCTGAGATGTGTGCAGAGGGCCTGGGTCCTCCTGAGCCCCTGCACTGGGGGGGGAATAAGAGACAGGCCCAGCAAGGGGCTGTCCACTTCCTGTGGGTTCACAGCTGTGGGGACCCAGGCAGGCGGCAGCAGGCTCTGACTTAACCACATCCGTGCATCTGTCTGTCATGGAGGGCCATGTGGTCACCTGTCCCACAGCTGGAGCACGCAGAGCAGGCATCATGGTGTCCATCCTCACTGTTCTTCTGTGCCTCAGTCAGTGGTGGAGAGACGAGGGACAGGAGGGGCACTGGGCTGAGGTGGGGAGGGTCCCACAGCAGCCTTGTTCACCAGAGAGCCTCAGGGCTCCAGTGGCTACTGGTGCTCCAACAGGAAGGGAAGCAGCCACACCTCTGTGTTCCAAATCCCCCACAGGAAACTCTTCTCCATGGCTGAGTCTGGGCCAGAAAGCCCAAGCACTTGCAGGTGAGTCTCTGCTAACCTCCCATGCCTGACCTCACACTCAGCACCTGGACTCTCATCTCAGGGGCTTCTGAACTGAGGGTGAGAAAATCAAGAGGGTCTGTGACCTGAGCTGGGAATGAGGAGCGGGGGAGGTCTGTGGACCCCAGCCTGTGGTTTCTTCCAGGGACCCTCCCCAAACCCAGCCTCTGGGCTGAGCCAGGCTCTGTGATTACCTGGGAGAGCCCCATGACCCTCTGGTGCCAGGGGACCCTGGATACCCAGGGTTACTATCTCACCAAGGAAGGAAACCCCATGACCTGGTACCAACAGAGCCCACCAGAGCCCAGGAACAAGACCAACTTCTTCATCCCATCCATGAGAGAGCACCATGCAGGGAGATACCACTGTCACTATCTCAGCCCTGCAGGCTGGTCAGAGCGCAGCGAGCCCCTGGAGCTGGTGGTGACAGGTAAGAGGACACTCAGGGGTCCCAGCCCCAGGCTCTGCCTGCAGGAAGGGGGTCAGCTCTCAAGGGCATCTCCGTTCTAATAACTCAGCCCTGGGGGATGATGTGGGACGCGTGAGCCCCATTTAAGACAGTGTCTCCTTCTCTCCTAGGAGCCCACAGAAAACCCACTCTCTCAGCCCTGCCGAGCCCTGTGGTGACCTCAGGAGAGAACGTGACCATCCAGTGTAGCTCAAGGGTGGGATTTCACAGGTTCATTTTGATTGAGGAAGGAGAAAACAAGCTCTCCTGGATGCTGGACTCACAGGAACTCTCCAAGGGGCTGTCCCTTGTCCCTGGCCCTGTTCCCTGTGGGCCGTGTGGCTGCCAGTCACCGGTGGATGTTCAGATGCTATGGGCATTACACGAACTTCCCCTGGGTGTGGTCGGAACCCAGTGATACCATGGAGATCCTGGTCTTAGGTATGGATGTCTTCCTCCTTGCCCTATTTATTTTTGAGAACTTACTCTCACGGAGCCCCATGTAGGAGGGTGGAACAAGGGAAGTTTGGGACTCCTGAGCCCAGAGACACTGAGTGTGAGAGACAGTGAGACCTGCAGGGCCAGGAGGGGAGAAGGAAGGGGTGTGGGAGGAACCAGCCCTCCTAGTCCCGACTCTTCTTTCCCTCCAGGCGTGTCTAGGAAGCCCTCCCTCCTGACCCTGCAGGGCCCTGTCGTGGCCCCTGGGGAGAATCTGACCCTCCAGTGTGGCTCTGATGTCGGCTATGACAAATTCACTCTGTACAAGGAGGGGGGACATGACCTCGTCCAGGGCTCTGGCCGGCAGCCCCAGGCTGGGCTCTCCCAGGCCAACTTCACCCTGGGCCCTGTGAGGGTCTCCCACGGGGGCCAGTACAGATGCTACGGTGCACACAACCTCTCCTCCGAGTGGTCGGCCCCCAGTGACCCCCTGAGCATCCTGATCGCAGGTGAGGAGCCCAGCAGGTTCAGTCAGGGACCCAGGCTCCGCACAGGCCCTGCTGGGGGAGCCCAGGTGGTGATGGCCGGGATGAGGGGTGGGGGTCCTAAGGGACGGAGAGACAGACAGAGACAGGGGATGGGCGGGGAGGGGGAGACTCAGAGAAAACAGAGACAGAGACACTGAGGGTCCCAGGGAGAGGCCTGGGGAGGTGTCAGCTCAGAACGAGGTGGGGCAGCCCCTCACCCATCCTTCTTCTCTCCAGGACAGATCCGTGGCAGACCCTCCCTCTCGGTGCAGCCGGGCCCCACGGTGGCCTCAGGAGAGAACGTGACCCTGCTGTGTCAGTCACGGGAGCAGTTGGACACTTTCCTTCTGACCAAGGAGGGGGCAGCCCATCACCCACTGCGTCTGAGATCAGAGCACCAAGCTCAGCAGCACCAGGCTGAATTCCCCATGAGTCCTGTGACCTCAGCCCACGCGGGGACCTACAGGTGCTACAGCTCACGCAGATTCTTCCCCTACCTGCTGTCTCACCCCAGTGACCCCCTGGAGCTCGTGGTCTCAGGTGAGGCCGCTGACCCTGTCCTCTCTGAGCTCAAACCTCAGCTCAGGCCCTGCCCCCAGGAGAGCTCAGGACGCTAAGGAAAGAGGGGAGTAAAGGGGGAGGGTCGGCAGGGGAGGGCCCAGCCCATGAGAGGGTGGAAATAGTCAGGGACCTCCTAATCCTGGGCTCCCACCCCAGAGACCTCAGATGGGGCTAAAGGCCAGGGAGGGCTGAAATGAGATATGGAGAAACCTTGGAGGAATCATGCTTAGGCTGAGGGTAGAAGATGGAGGCCCCACCCACTCCCCACCTGGGCTCCCCTGGCGGCCCCAAAATACTCAGTGCATACCTGAGACGAAGGGGAGATCATGCACCTGCTCACTGCAGCAATGCAGGCAAATTATTCAACAGCAAACCTCGTGTGCAATTCCTTTCTGTCCTTTATTTTTTATGTCCACATATCTAGTTTCTCTTTCTGTTTCTGAAGATTTCAAAGCAATGCTGGCATTTATAATTTACACATTTAATTTGTTAGGTAGCGTTATGATGTAAAATAACTGTGCTCTGATTTTCTTTGGGATTAAATTAAATATGTGCATTCATGATGGAGAATAACTTCTCATTAATAATGTCTTTGTATCCAATACATTTAAAATTAAACTTTATACAGTTAGCAGATGCTTGAAGTTGTATTCATAAAAATTGTGGACATTGTGAATTTTAAGCATTGTTTTACTACTTGAATAATTTGAAAGTCTTTGATTCCTTTCTATTTTCTAAAATTAGTTACGTATGGATGAGAAAGCTATTGGTTTGGGTATGCTAATTTTAGTTCCTATTAACTTACCACAGACACACTCCCTTTCAATCCTTTCCGAAATGATCTCTTCTGATTTATTGATAATAATTACATTAACCACAAGAAAATGGAGGACAAACTTGTTTGTTTCTAAATTATATAATACTCTTCTCACTTCAAATATATATGTATGTGTTTATATATACTCACACACTATTATATATCTTATAATATATATTATGTATTATATATTTATATATACACTATTATATATCTTATATATTATGTATTATATATTTATATATACCCACACATTATTATATCTTATAATATATATTATGTATTATATATTTATATATACCCACACATTATTATATCTTATAATATATATTATGTATTATATATTTATATATGCACTATTATATATCTTATATATTATGTATTATATATTTATATTACCCACACATTATTATATCTTATAATATATATTATGTATTATATATTTATATATACACACACTATTATATATCTTATTATATATTATGTATTATATATTTATATATACTATTATATATCTTATAATATATAATGTATTATATATTTATATATACACACACTATTATATATCTTATATATTATGTATTATATATTTATATATACATACTATTATATATCTTATAATATATTATGTATTATATATTTATATATATACACTATTATATATCTTATTATATATTATATATTTATATATGCACACACTATTACATATCTTATTATATATTTATATGTATACACACACTATTATATATCTTATTATATATTATGTACTATATATTTATATATACTATTATATATCTTATAATATATAATGTATTATATATTTATATATACACACACTATTATATATCTTATATATTATGTATTATATATTTATATATACATACTATTATATATCTTATAATATATTATGTATTATATATTTATATATATACACTATTATATATCTTATTATATATTATATATTTATATATGCACACACTATTACATATCTTATTATATATTTATATGTATACACACACTATTATATATCTTATTATATATTATGTACTATATATTTATATATACTATTATATATCTTATAATATATAATGTATTATATATTTATATATACACACACTATTATATATCTTATATATTATGTATTATATATTTATATATACATACTATTATATATCTTATAATATATTATGTATTATATATTTATATATACACACTATTATATATCTTATTATATATTATATATTTATATATGCACACACTATTACATATCTTATTATATATTTATATGTATACACACACTATTATATATCTTATATATTATATATTTATATATACTCACACTATATCTTATAATACATATTATGCATACACATATGCATAATACATATTATCTATACACATATGCATAATACATATTATGTATACACATATGCATAACACATATTATGTATACACACATATTTACACCTATGCATATATGTATGTATGTATGCGAATGTACCTCTGCCACGGCAGGGAAAGGTTCTATCACACAACTACAGAGCAGTTAGGAGAAGTGTAGACACAAAGGAATGCAGCAACTGAGGGACATGTTGGCTTAAGTCTCTTCAACTCCTCACACACCTCCCCCTTTTTTGGTTGATTCTCAGGAGCAGCTGAGACCCTCAGCCCATCGCAAAACAAGACAGACTCCAAGACTGGTGTGTAAGGAGATGCTCTCGGTTATGGGGCTGGCACAGAGGGTCAGGTCCTGTGAAGGGGAGGTGGGTGCCCTGGGTGGACATCCAGGGGTCCCGGGTGATGTTGATCTGCCCTGACCTCTGAGACCTCTTGGTCCACCATCCCCAGCCTCACACCCCCAGGATTACACAGTGGAGAATCTCATCCGCGTGGCTGTGGCTGGCTTGGTCCTGGTGGTCCTCGGGATTCTGCTGCTTTAGGACTGGCACAGCTAGAGAAGTCCCCAAGATGCAGCAAGGAGGTAAATACATGAGAGAACAATGCACCCTTCAGAGTGCCAGAGCCTTGGCAATGAATCTGATAGTCCTAGGAGGTTCTGGAAGAAAGTCTGGACCATCATTCGGGAAACCGTCTACTGAGAAAGTCGAGAAGGGGAGGCTTGGGTCAGGTTCAGGAAGATGTCTGGGTGCCTGTAGAGAACGCTTCCTCCATTAAACTTCCATTAAATGGCAGTGCTTTCAGTCCTGCTGTTGTGGATCCTCCGTGTCTGCCCCTCCCTTCCTTTCGCTCTCTGTGATGTGAAGGCACGTCCCCCATGGTGGGTTTGCATCCACACCCCTGCGATCACGTGCTCTGGTCCACTGTCATGTAATACATTTGTCTTTGTTTCCAACTACCGCATTCTCTAAAGTGAACTATTGATTCTCCATCTTTTCAGTTCTGAGCATAGATCTGGATTAAATAACTGGAATAGGTGGGCAGATTTGTATTTGGGACTTTGAAACATGAGTCTGAGGCCAGGCACAGTGGCTCACACCTGTAATCCCAGCACTTTGGGAGGCTGAGGTGGGCGGATCACTTGAGGTCAGAAGTTCGAGACCAACCTGGCCAACATGGTGAAACCCTGTCTCTACTAAAAGATACAAAAATTAGCTGGGTGTGGCAGTGAGCACCTGTAATCCCAGCTGCTCAGGAAGCTGAGGCGGGAGAATAGCTTGAACCCGGGAGGCGGAGGTTGCAGTGAGCCAAGATCTTGCCACTGCACTCCAGCCTGGGCAACAGAGCAAGACTCCATCTCCAAAAAAAAAAAAAAAAAGGGAAATATGAGTCTGAAATGATGCCCTAGCACCCTCTCTGGACCCTGAATTCCCTTCACTCTTCATCGGATGATACCTGTGTACTTTGTCCAGAAATATCATCTCTCAGAATGAGCACACTAACGCTCGAAGGCTCAGCCTCATGGTATTCTGTTAAACTGGCTCTCTGAAAAAATTATTTTCTTAAGAAAACTCTGAACATATAAAGCCCCAGATTTATGGTATTTGCTGATTAGTGTGGTATAAATACGTCCTTTATGGCCAACTTCAGGGTGCCCATATGACGCCATTGAATGCACAGTTGGGAAGTAGTCAAAAGAATTGTCGTTCACACGAGTATGAACCAGTTGTAAAGTTTATTTAAAGGTTATAATAATTTCTGCTTCATTCTTATGGTGTAGTTTCAGTAAAATTGTAATGTCAAAAATCATAGCACAATGGAGGGAAAAGAAAAAAATAGGCCGGGTGTGGTGGCTCATGCCTGTAATCCCAACACTTTGGGAGGCCGAGGCAGGAGGATCACCTGAGGTCAGGAGTTCGAGACCAGCCTGGCCAACATGGTGAAACGCTGTCTCTACTAAAAATACAAAAATTAGCCAGACATGGTGGCGCCTGCCTGTAATCCCAGCTACTTGGGAGGCCAAGGCACGAGAATCGCATGAACCCAGGAGGCGGAGGTTGCAGTGAGCCGAGATCACTACAGCCTGGGTGATAGAGCAAGACTCAGTCTCAAGAAAAGAAAAAAGTAGCAAAATCATTTTTTGGAAAGAATATTGAACATGTAGAATTTTAGTACATTAATAGTAAGAGTACAAATTGCTTTAATCAATTAAGGAAGTGTATTGGAATTATCTAGTTAAAAAGAGGAGGCACATGGCTGTGACCCTTCTTAATTATGTACTTAATTATGTACCCTAGAGATAAATGTCTACTTATGTGTCATGATACACTCACAACTGTTATAGGAATGCTGTTCCTATTAGCCAAAGCTATAAAATACCAAAGTCCACCTACGAAAAAAATAAACATAGTGTGGTAAATAGACTCAGTGGAATATTACAAGGTAGTAAAATGCATAAATGAAAATAACAAACAGCACCATACTTCAATTTTCAAGCATAAAGTCAAGTAAATGAAGTATTATTTGAAAATGTGTGCATGGTTATTTCATTACATAAAGGTCAAAAGGAGGGTACATTTATTATTTAGGAAAACACACCTAAGATATCTTTGTAAAATCTGTAAAATCAATAGTACTGTTTCCCCTCTTTCATTCCTTATCTTGAAAATGCTTGTCTCTTTTTCTGCCATGGCTTTCTACCTTGCTTGATATATTACAATTTTGTAACCTGCTTATTTCATCATATGTCATAAGTTCACATGTATATCCCATGAATTATTGAGGGTCTTATTCATTTCAAGTGGCATTTAGGTTTTTAAAAATATCTTTTGGCGACCAGGTGCAGTGGCTCATGCCTGTAATCCCAGCACTTTGGGAAGCCAAGGCAGGTGGATCACGAGTTCAAGAGACAGAGATCATCCTGGCGAACATGGTGAAACCCCGTCTCTACTAAAAATACAAAAAAAAAAAAAAAAATAGCTGGGCATGGTAGAGGGTGCCTGTAGTCCCAGCTTCTCAGGAGGCTGAGGCGGGAGAATGGCATGAACCCGAGAGACGGAGGTTGCAGTGAGCCGAGATCGTGCCACTGCACTCCAGCCTGGCAACAGAGTGAGACTCTGTCTCAAAAAAAAAAAAAAAAGAAAGAAAGAAAGGAAGAAAAAAAAATCTTCTGGCATTAACTATTAAGAAATTGCACTATAAAAAGAGAATATAATGCATAAGACGGCAATTTGAAAAGATTCAGATATAATTTTTTCTTATCTAGTAAATACTTAGTAATTTGTCTAATGCATGCCTTAAATACATACCACTTTATGCAGAGGTTGCCATGAGCCGAGATCGCGCCGTTGCACTCTAGCCTGGGTGGCAGAGCAAGACTCCATCTCAAAAAAAAAAAAGAAAATCTCACAGAAGGAGACCCAGAGCTTCCAGCCTCGCCCAGAGTCTTGGCTCACTCCCTGTGTGTGTGGACCCTAGGGAGCCTCTTCTGTTCCCCACAGAGGTGGAAACTTCCTCCTTAATAACCCCTTGATGGTCCCAGGCACTGGTGACCACTGAGCTTTGCTCTCTCTTTTTTCTTATGGTTCCCTGTCTACTTCCAGGGCTATCACTTTACTTTTTGTGCATTAGACCATGAATAATGTTTTAGAAACATTCTATCAAATTTCTCAGTGCTAGGAACAACTGAGGTTTTTGATTGGGTGCCTCAAATGTCTACCCTTACTGTGGAGTCCGACAACAGGATTCTAACAAGTCCCAACCCCTTCATGCCTTAACCTGGTCTGGAAATAAATTATGTTTAAGCCATCCCATACCCCAGCCACATCAAGCCCCACAACCACTCTGAGAAGTGAGATTTATAGCAAAATGCTCCAAACAAGGTAACTAAGGTTCAGACAAGGGATGTTAATGTGTCCATTTACATAAACAAAAAATGGTAGATGATCAGCTTTCCCTTTGAAATCAGAGTACTAATCTGACTCATTGTTCCCTGAATTTTAGAGGCAGGACCTCAGGAGGAGCTAAGAATCCTACCCCAGGAAAATTACCAATATCAGAAAGGAAACAATGACATCAGTACAGATCCTACAGAATTCAAAAGATTCTAAGTGGACATTATGAAGACATTATTCAGCTTAGATGAAGTGGTCACATATCACAAGAAAACAAACTGTCTAAAACAATCTCTGAAATACCTAGACATTCCCTGAATCATTGAGTTATTAAATAAAATACATTTTAAAATTAAACTCTTTTCAGGAAATAAACTTCAATGTCCCCTAGTGCACTCTCCAAAACATGTAGATGGGAATAAATACTGTTCTGAAAGACATTTCCCTGGAATTACAACCATTCAATATATTTTAAAAGGCAATCATAAAAATATAAAAAGGATATATCAGGAGAAGAAATGTAAATGGCCTAAATTCCCCACATAAAAGGCATAGAGTGGCAACGTGGATAAAAAGCCAAGAGCCAACTGCCTGCTGTCTTCAAGAGACCCATCTCACATGTAATGACACCCACAGGCTCAAAGTAAAAGGATGAAGAAATATTTACTAGGCAACCAGGAAACAAAAAAAAGGAAGGCATTCCTATTCTTATATCACATGAAACACACTTTAAATCAACAGCAATCAGGAAGGACAAAGAAGGGCATTACAAAATGATAAAGGGTTCAATTTGACAGAAGACTTAACTATTCTAAATATATATGCACCCAAATTTGGAGCACCCCGATTCATAAAACAAGTTATTCTTCACCTATGAAAAGAGTTAGACAGCCACACAATAATAGTAAGGGACTTCAGTATCCCACTAACAACGTCAGATGAATCACTAAAACAGAAAACTAACAAAGAAATTCTGGTCTTAAAGACAACACTTGACCAATTGGACCTCATAGACATCTACAGAGTACTCCACCCAACAACTGCAGAATATAGATTCTTCTTATCTGCACACACAAAAAACATATCATATTCTAAGACTGGCCACAAAGCAAG
Source organism: Homo sapiens (assembly GCF_000001405.40). Taxonomy (NCBI): domain Eukaryota; kingdom Metazoa; phylum Chordata; class Mammalia; order Primates; family Hominidae; genus Homo; species Homo sapiens. The sequence goes on from NW_016107307.1 coordinate 19,276, forward strand.
TCTCAATAAATTCAAAGAATCAAAATCATAACAAGGCACACAATAAAAATAGAAAAAAATACCAAGATGATCTCTCAAAACTACAGAAAAACATGGAAATTTAACAACTTGTTTCTGAATGAATATTAAGAGCCATCTATGACAAATCCACAGCCAACATCATATTGAATGGTCAAAAGCTGGAACTGTACCCCTTGAGAACTCTTGGGTGAACAATGAAATTAAAGCAGAAATCACAAAACATTATTTAAAATTAATAAAAATAGAAACAAACTTACCAAAACCTTTGGGATGCAGTTAAAGCAGTGATAAGAGGAAAATTTATAGCAATACATGCCTCATCAGAAGTTTAGAAAGATCTCAAATTAGTGACTTAACACTGCATCTAGAGGAACTATTAAAAAAAAGGAACAGTCCAAACCCAAGGCCAGCAAAAGATGAGAAATAACTAAAGTCAGAGAGAACTGAATAAATTGAGACCAAAAAGTCCATACAAGAGATAAATAAAACCAAGAGTTTTTCTTTGAAAAAAAATAAACAAAATTCATAGACTGTTAGCTAGATTAACAAAGAAAAAGAGAAAAGATCCAAATAAACACAAATAGAACTGACAAAACAATGTTACGAACAATCCCACAGAAATAGAAAAGATCGTCAAAGACTATTATGAACACCTCTATACAAACAAGCTAGAAAACCTAGAAGAAATGGATAAATTCCTGGTAACACAAAATTTATCATATTTCAACCAGGAAGAAAGTGAAAACCTGAACAGACCAATAACAAGTTCAGAAATTTAATCAGTAATAAAAACCCTACTAACTAAAAATAGCCCAGGACCAGATGGATTCACAGCCAAAATCCAACAGCCATACAAAGAAGAACTGATACCGATCTTACTGAAACTTTTGGAAAAAATCAAGGAGTGGGGGCTTCTTCCTAACTCATTCTATGAAGCCATCATCACCATGATACCAACATCTGTCAGAGACATAATGAAAAAAAGAAAACTACAACTAAATATCCTTAATGAACATAGACATAAAATCCTCAACAAAATGCTAGCAAATTGAATCTGTCAGTGCATCAAAAGTTAATTCACATGATCAAGTAAGCTTTATTTTTGGGATGCAAGGTTGGTTCAACCTACAAAGTCAACGAATGTGATTCACCTCATAAACATAATTAAAAACAAAAACTATATGATCATCTCAATAGATGCAGAAAAAGCTTTCTGTAAAATCCAACATCCCTTCATGATAAAAACTGTCAATAGGCATCAAAGGAACATACCTCAAAATATTAAGAGCCATCTATGACAAACCCACAGCCAACATCATATTGATGGGCAAAAGCTGGAACCATACCCCTTGAGAACCGAAACAAGACCAGGATGACCACTCCCGCCATTTTAATTCAACATGGTACTGGAAGTCCTAGCCAAAGCAATCAGGCAAGAGAAGGAAATAAAAGGCATTAAAATTGGAAAAGAAGTAGTGATACTGTCTCTCTTTGCTGATGAAATAATTTTATACATAGAAAACCCTAAAGACTCTGTCAGAAGGCTCCTGAAACTGATAAACAAATTCAATAAAGTTTCGGGATTAAAAAAATGTACACAAATTAGTAACATTTCTATGCACCACTAACATTCTAGCTGAGAACTAAATCAAGAACACAATTCCATTTACACTAGCCACAAAGAAAATAAAATACCTAGGAATCCATCTAACCAAGAAGGTGAAAATTCTCTACAAGGAGAACTACAAAACACTTCTGAAAGAAATAAGAAATGATACAAACAAATGGAAGAATATTCCATGCTCATGAATTAGGAGAACAAATAGTTAAAATCGCCATACTTCCAAAAACAAATTGCAGACTCAATGCTATCCATTTCAAAATGCAATGTCATTTTTCACGAAATTATAAAAATTTATTCTAAAATGTATTTGGCACCAAAAAAAGAGCCTGAATACACATAGGAATCCTAAGCACAAAGAACAAAGCCCAGGCATCACATTACCCAACTTCAAACTATACTACAATGCTATAGTAACCCAAACAGCATGATACTACTACAAAAACAGACACATAGACCAATGAGACAGAATAGAGAACCCAGAAATGAGGCTACATACCTACAATCATCTTTGAAAAAATTGACAAAAACAAGCAATGTGGAAAGTACCCTTTCTTCAATAAATAGTTCTGGGATAACTGACTACTCATATGCAAAATAATAGAACTGGACCCCTAACTCTCACTATATACAAAAATTAACCCAAGATAGTTTAAAGATTTAAATGTAAAACCTCAAAATATTAAAATTCTAGAAGAAAACCTAGGAAATATCCTTCTCAAGATAGACTTTGGCAAAGAATTTATGGCTAACTCCCCAAAACCAATTGTGACAAAGACAGAAATTGGGACCTAACTCAACTGAAGAGCTTCTGCACAGCAAACGAAAGTATCAACAGAGTAAACAGATAACCTACAGACTGGGAGAAAATATTTGCAAACTATGCATCTGACAAAGTTCTAATATCCAGAATCTATAAGGAATGTAAACAAATCAACAAGCAGAAAACCAAAAAACCTCAATTAAGTATGACATGAACAGACACTTCTCAAAAGAAGATGTACACATGGCCAAAAAACATATGAACAAATGCTTATTATCAGTAATCATCAGAGAAATGCAAATTAAAACCACAGTGAGATACCATCTCACAACAATCAGAGAAGCAGAAGCAATTACTAAAAAGTTTTTTGTTTTTTTTAATAACAGATGCTGACAAGATTGTGGAGAAAAGGGAACACTTATACACTCTTGGTGGGAATGTTAACTAGTTCAGCCAATGTGATAAGCAGTTTGGAGACTTCTCAAATAACTTAAAATAGAACTACTATTCAATCAAGCAATCCCACTACTGGGTATATACCAAAAGGAAGGTAATTAACTATGTCAAAAAGACACATGCACTAGTATATTCATTGCTGTGCAATTCAGAATAGCAAAGATTTGCAGTCAACCTAAGTGCTCACCAACAGTGGATTAGTTAAAGAAAATGTGCTACATATACACATGGAACATTACATGGCCATAAAAAATAATGAAATCATGTCCTTTGCAGCAACATGAATGTAGCAGGAGGTCAATCTCCTAAGTGAACTAACCCAGGAACAGAAAACCAAATACCACATGTTATCACTTATAACTGAGAACCAAACATTGAATACACATGAACATAAAGATGGAAACAACAGATACCGAGGACTACAGATGGGGGGAGGAGTAGGGAGGTATAGGCTGAAGAAACACCTGTTGGATTCTATGCTCATTGCCTGGGTGATGGCATTGTTGGAACCACAAACCTCAGAGTCACACAATATGCCTATGTAACAAACCTGCATGCATACCTTTAATCTACAGTAAAGGTTGAAGTTATTTAAAAATAGGAAGAAGAATTACCCTATACCTAAAGCTAAGATTTTTCCCTTTGAATATTCGTTTCTTCATCACTGTAGATAAGCAGGGAAAGAAAAATTATTATACTATACTAGCCTTTTATGTGACCATGAGGATTTGGGGTAGGTAGGTGGACAGCTTAGATAATTCACCAGGATATTGATACAGGCTCCATGGCTGGAAATAACCAAGGATGAGTGCTGTGTTTTGAGTGGTCTCCCCCAGAAACGTTTGTTGAAATCCTAACCCCTGGTATGTATGAATGTGAATTCATATTATATAAAAAGGAATAAATAGCCTGAGCACAGTGGCTCACACCTGTAATCCCAGCACTTTGGGAGGCCAAAGCAGGTGGATCATTTGAGGTCAGGAGTTCTGGCCAATATGGCAAAACTTCATCTCTACAAAAAAAAAATACAAAAAAAAAAATTGGCTGGGTATGGTGGCGCATGCCTGTAGTCCCAGCTACTCAGGAGGCTGAGGCAGGAATTGCTGAAACCTGGAAGGCAGAGGTTGCAGTGAGCCAAGATCATGCCACTGCACTCCAGCCTGGGTGAGACGGCAAGATATTCTGTCAAAAATAAATAAATAAAAAACAGAAGAAGAAATACAAGAATGACAGCAAACTTTGTATTCAAAACTATGAAAGTAAGAAATAGGTGGACCAACATTTTTAAAGTGCTACAAGAAAATATTTCAAACTAGAATCTTTCAACCTGAAAAGGAAAACATTTTCCTGCAATAAAGGTGCCATTAAAAATGTCTCACAATTTATTACATGAAGCATTGTTCTACAATAAATGTTAAGCTCTTGAAGCAAAGATTAATGATACCATTTAGTAACTTGAAATTCAAAAAAGTGGAAGTATCCCAAGAGGCAAATACGTGTGCAATTATTAAATGTTTCATATCAACACCCAACCTTATGCTGTCTACATAAGCTGCACTTCAAATACTAATCCACAAGATGTAAATATTGAAAGAATGACATTACATTGTCATGATAATGCCCAGTGCAAAATATGCTTCTAGTCAGTTGTATACATAGAATAGGTAAATGTTTGTAATAAAAAGTATTCCTCAATAGAAGTTTCTTAACTCAAAGAATGAAATATTTCACCATGCACATACAAAGAAGAGATATATGGAGATATGAAGAGGAGTACTTCATAATGACAAAGAGGCAAATTCATAAATAAGACATAATAATCCTAAATGCCTACACACCTAAAGCTGGAACCTCAAAACACATTAAATTAAAGGCATAATTCAAAACATAATCAATCACATCCAAATTGCAGCTAGAGATAGCAACATTCACCTCACTTCCAGAACAAGTACACAGAAAATTATTAAGCATATGAAAGACTTGAAAAACATTTGTGTAGGCGGCGGGTGCATAAGGTTGGGTGTTGATATGAAACATTTAATAATTTCAATAATCCTAGCACTTTGGGAGGCCAAAATGGGAGGATCACTTGAGGCCAGGAGTTTGAGACCAGCCTGGGCACCATAGTGAGACCCCGTCTCTATTTTTTTTAAATAAAGAAAAACATTTGAATGATTTTTTTCTTAACTGACATTTAGAAAACATCCACCTCAAATCTTCCTAATCCACAAACTTGTCTAGCACCCCTGGAACATTCACCAAAATAAATTTTTAAATGCTGAATCATAGGTAATATGATAGATGAAACAGTTGAATTAAATTATAAATGTACAACAAGGAAATGCTGGGGAAATTATCAAATATTTTAAAATTAATAAACACACATAGCAATAAACAATGAGTGGAAGAAAAACATTTCAAAGAAAGGTGGAAAATATTTTGTATCAATTAAAAATGAAAACACATCTCGGCAAATGACTGGGGATACAGATAGAACAGTGTTAAAGGAAAATAAGCCTCAAATGTCTGTGTTAGAAAAGAAGGAAGAGCTGAGTAAATAGGTAACTTTCACTTGCAGAAATACTACACATCAGCAAATTAATTCCAAAGTAACGTCGAGGAAAAACATAAAATGGCAAGCAAATATATACGTGCATATGTACATACATTCATAAATGACAAACAGGACAGAAAAATCAGTGACATCAATTTTGTTCCTTAGAAGAAACAGGAAAATTGACCCCAAAAAACTTTCCAGGCCACATTTGGTCATGATGGAAATATTTTGGCACTTCCTGGTTAAGCTCAACACCAACTTGCACCCAAAACCAATAATTTCATTTCTAGGTAAATATGTCTAATTAATTCAGCATATGTATGCAAGGGATCACACAGAAACACGATTATCAAGGCCCGAGTTATAAAAGAGAAAATCCGGAAACAACACAAATGTCCATGATAAAAAGAATGGATAATTACATGTTGATAAAGTTATGCATGGACTATTAAACTGCAATCCAAAAGAATAAAATAGAGCTATAAAATTCAATATGTATATGGTGTCATAGAAACACAAATGTGAGAAAAAGAAAGAAAAATACAAAATTTATATTTTTTAAAATTTGAAACAACTATATATGTGAGTGCTTAGGGTGTGTGTGTGTGTGTGTGTGTGTGTGTATAACCATATGTATATAAATGCACACATACGCACACATATAGAATGTCCCGGCCAGGCATGGTGGCTCACACCTGTAATCTCAGCACTTTGGGAGGCTGAAGTAGACAGATCACTTGAGGTTAGGAGTTCAAGACCAGCCTGGCCAACATGGAGAAACCTCCTCTCTACTAAAAGTACAAAAATTAGGTGGGCGTGGTGGTGGGTGCCTGTAAATCCAGCTACTTAGGAGGCTGAGGCACGAGAATTGCGTGAACCTGGGAGGTGGAGGCTGCAATGAGCCGAGGTCTCACCACTGCATTCCAAACTGGGTGACGAAGTGAGATTGCATCTCAAAAAAAAAAAAAGTTCTAAAAGTTGTGACTTGGGTGTGGCAGATTGTGACATACTGCCAGCTGCTAGAAATGCTGGGGCAGGAGGATTGCTTGAACTCTGAAGTCAAAGAACAGCCTGGGGAAAATAGCACATGAAGAAGAGTTTGAATCTCAGATAAAAACAACAAAAATACATCAAAAGTCTTTAATGTAAGCCAAGCATTCAGTCATCTCCTGTATGAGAGATTGGATCTGAGACGTGTTTTGAGTTGGTTATAGTGAAGGATGCAAGGTGTCAATTCTAGTTGGAACAATTTCCAGGAAGCCATGTTCTGCTCTTGACCAAACAGCCACTGGGCCTCATGCAAGGTAGAAATAGCCTGCATACGTCATCCTCCCATGATGTGGTCAGCATGTAAACTGCATGAGCCCCTCACAACATCCTGTGTGCTGCTGAACTGAGCTGGGGCGCAGCCGCCTGTCTGCACCGGCAGCACCATGTCGCTCATGGTCGTCAGCATGGCGTGTGTTGGTGAGTCCTGGAAGGGAATCGAGGGAGGGAGCGGTGGGGTGGAGATCTGGGCCTGGAGTGGAGATATGGGCCTGGAGTGGAGATATGGGCCTGGAGTGGAGATATAGGCCTGGAGTGGAGATATGGGCCTGGGGTGGAGATATGGGCCTGGAGTGGAGATATGGGCCTGGAACTGTAGATATGGGCCTGAAGTAGAGATATGGGCCTGGAGTAGAGATATGGGCCTGGAACTGTAGATATGGGCCTGGAGTGGAGATATTGGCTTGGAGTGCAGATATGGACCTGGAATTGAGATACGGGCCTGGAGGTGGAGATATGGGCCTAGAGTGGAGATATGGGCCTGGAGGTGGAGATATGGGCCTGGAACTGTAGATATGGGCCTGGAGTAGAGATATGGGCCTGGAGTGGAGATGTTGGCTTGGAGTGCAGATATGGGCCTGGAATGGAGACACGGGCCTGGAGGTGGAGATACAGGCCTGGAGGTGGAGATATGGGCCTGGAGTGTAGATATGGGCCTGGAGTAGAGATATAGGACAGAGGTGGAGATATAGGCCTGGAGTGGAGATATGGGCCTGGAGTAGAGATATAGGACGGAAGTGGAGATATGGGCCTGGAGTGGAGATATGGGCCTGGAGGTGATGTACAGATGGATCATCCATCATGATCTTTCTTTCCAGGGTTCTTCTTGCTGGAGGGGCCCTGGCCACATGTGGGTGAGTCCTTCCCCCAAACCTTAGGTTGTCATCTCCCCACATAAGATGATGTTCCTGAAACGGGAGGCAGGCGACACAGGGGGTTGACTGATGGGCTGACCATGGGAAGCCATGTGGGAATCTCTCATGAACTAGGAAAAGGAAGCCAGGGGAAGCTTCGCCACAGTTCTGTCCTAGCCCTCCCCGGCCTTTCTTTCCCTTGGCTGAGTCTGTGGGGACCCAGGGGGAGACTGAAGTGCTCAAAGGAGTGGTGTGCAGGGAGGAAGTGGTGTCACCGGCAGAGGAAGGGAGAGAAGCAGTGCAAGGAACAACAGGCCTCTGAGGACAAGAGCATAACTCACACCCTCCAGCGTTTCCATGACGGTAGGGGCTGCAATGTGGCTGCTGTCATTCTACCTAAGAGGTGGGGGAACCACAGTCATGACCCTGACATTCCAGATCTTCTAATAGGGGCTCAGTTGTTTATTATGGTTCATGCATTAGCTGATCATGCCCTCCATCCTGTGTCTACCTTGTGTTCTTTTATGTAAGTAATTTTGCAGTGTTAAAATCTAGTAAGAGTCGCTTCTTCAGCACCTGCTCAAAGTTCTCAGCTGACACTTGCTGTAGGGAGACGCCATGTCTATGCGGGATGGGTCCTTCCTGTAGCCCTGGGCACCCAGGTGTGGTAGGAGCCTTAGAAACGTGGAAATGGGAGAATCTTCTGAGCACAGGGAGGGAGGGGCGGCTCCACATCCTCCTCTCTAAGGTAGTGCCTCCTTCTCCCCCAGGTGGTCAGGACAAGCCCTTCCTCTCTGCCTGGCCCGGCACTGTGGTGTCTGAAGGACAACATGTGACTCTTCAGTGTCGCTCTCGTCTTGGGTTTAACGAATTCAGTCTGTCCAAAGAAGACGGGATGCCTGTCCCTGAGCTCTACAACAGAATATTCCGGAACAGCTTTCTCATGGGCCCTGTGACCCCAGCACATGCAGGGACCTACAGATGTTGCAGTTCACACCCACACTCCCCCACTGGGTGGTCGGCACCCAGCAACCCTGTGGTGATCATGGTCACAGGTCAGAGGCTTTCTGTCTGGGCTTCTCACTGTCCCACCTCCTGAATCCCAGAGCTTCTGGTGGGGGTGTCCATCAGGGTCCAATCATCCAGGCCCAGACTGTATTTGGGGTAAAGGGGGATTCAGTACAGAGAAATAGTTGCTGTGGTGGGAAGAATAATTGTCCCCAGTGATGGCTACATGGTAATCCATGAACCCTGTGACTATTTATGTCATAGGGCAGGGGACTGAAGGGGAAGATGGAGCTCAGGTTGTTGATGGGTTGACCTTGCGATGGGGAGACAGCCTGGACTGTCCTGCTGTGCTCAGAGTAATCACAAGGGTCCTCATGAGAGGAGGAGGAAGAGGAAAGTGGGGTTAGAGCAACGTCGTGGGAGGGAGACTCCATCAGCCACAGCGGGCTTTGAAGATGGGGGAAGGCCATGAGCCACAAAGGCAGTTGGCCTCTAAGGGCTGGAGAAGTCAAGGGAACTGATTCTTCCCTGAGTCTCCAGAGGAAACACAGCCCTGTAGATGCCTTGATTTTAGCCCAGAGAGAACTGGGTCCGATTTCTGTTCTCCAGAAGTGGAAGGGGTCATTGTATTCTCTCTTGCCCCATGTTTGTGACAATTTTCTCCAGCAGCAACAGGAAACCAACACAGGAACCCAGGTGAAGCACAAGTTAAGAAACCAAACAAGGAGAAGGTTGGCTACACTGATTTTAGCATGGGTGGGATACTGATGCTACCACCAGGCTCGATCCACATAGGGAGGGGTTGATGCTCCTGGAACCAGCACCAGGGGCCACCCTATGGAAGCTGGGGCCATGGAGAAGGCACAGACATGACAGGAGAGGCTCCCAATCCCCATCAGGAACAGGGACACTGATGCCTGCCTTACTGATGAGTTCGTACCTCCTGCCAGCCTTTCCAATCTGTCCAAAAGAGATTGATTCAGGCTGCTAAGAGCCTGGACATGCAGCCTGTCGTGGTTCCTCTTCCACCCCCACATAAACACCAGGAAAGAGATTAGTGGGAAACAGATACAACAGCATAAGAGGTGACACTGAGCACAGTGGGAAGGGAATCAGGGCTACTAGAGACAGAGAGACAGGGAAGAGGGAGGGAGACAGATGGAGGGACCTGCAACAGGGGTTATGGGCACAAAAGAACACGGAGACACAGAGAGGAAGGAGAGAGATAGACACCATGGAGGGGAAGCCTCACTTATTTCAGGTCCCATGAATGGGATGAGAAAGGGAGACGCCTTCTGAACTCACAACCTCTCTTCTTAGGAGTCCACAGAAAACCTTCCCTCCTGGCCCACCCAGGTCCCCTGGTGAAATCGGGAGAGACGGTCATCCTGCAATGTTGGTCAGATGTCAGGTTTGAGCGCTTCCTTCTGCACAGAGAGGGGATCACTGAGGACCCCTTGCGCCTCATTGGACAGCTCCACGATGCGGGTTCCCAGGTCAACTATTCCATGGGTCCCATGACACCTGCCCTTGCAGGGACCTACAGATGCTTTGGTTCTGTCACTCACTTACCCTATGAGTTGTCGGCTCCCAGTGACCCTCTGGACATCGTGGTCGTAGGTGAGAGAATACAGACCTGCCTCTCACCCTTGCTGGGAGATGGAGTGAATGATCTAGGACTGGAAGCCCCAGGTGGTCATGAGGAAGATGAGTGTGGGGTTCCTATGGAGAGAAAGTGACTTGGTGAGGTCTGTACCAACAAAGGCAGAGAAACAGGAGACACAAGTACAGACCTCATGTCATAACATAGAAGCCAGACACAGGGGCCATACAAGGTGTTAGAAAAAGAGATAAAGAGGTAAAGAAGACACAGAGAGACAGATATATCCCAGAGAGAGGTGTCCTTCTATGCTGACTTTGTTCAGAGACCAGGCACAGGTTAGAAGGTTCCATTCTGTTTTACCTCTACAAAGTGTTCTCTCCCAGGAGAACCCAAAGAGACACATCTATCTGGCCTGAGTTGGGCCGTGTGGCCCCAGGCTGGTGGCACCTACAGATGCTGTGTTTATTCTTAAACCTCTGCCTTCCGTGCAGTGGAGCTGTCGTCGTCGCAGGACACCATGGCCCCAGGTGAGGGAGCAGAACACCAACCCCTGTATGTTGTGAGTTCCTGGAGTCCCCATACTGGATTCTGAGGCTCATATTCAAATAGCACCACATGTTATAGGATTACTGAGAACAAAAGCCCACAGAGAGACACGGAGTGAAATCAGGGAAATCAAAAAGCAAAGACATGAACACACACACAGAATGAGCCAGAAGAAGGGAATTGAGAGACTCACAGACACATAAAGAGATAGAAAAAGAGGGCAGAGAAGTGGAGCGTATGATGGAAGGAAGCAGAGAAAAGCCCTAAAATCAGAGCCCTGAGGGAGGGGCACAAAGACAGGGAAAGATAAAGATGTGGGGATGGATTGCAGAGACTCCAAAAGGGAACTAGAGAGACTGAGAGGCAGAGAAAGACAAGGAGATGGAGAGAGACAGATGATAGATGGATAGATAGATATAGATAGATGAAAGATAAAAGGTAGATGATAGATAATAGAGAGACAGGTGATAGACAAATAGATGATGAATGACTGATAGATGATATAGATAGACAAGTAGAAAGACAGACAGATGATATATAAATAGATATAGAGAGATAGAAAGATAAACACATGATGATAGATGGATAGATGCATACATACATACATTGATTGATAGATGATAGATAACAGAGAGATAGGTCATAGATACACAGATGATGATAGATGATAGATACATACATAGATAAATGATAGATCGATCAATAGATAGTAGATAGAAATATGCAGAAAGTTATGAGCAAGACAGAAAGTGAGAGACTCAGAATTAAAGAAAGAGGAAGATCAAGTCAACCAGTCCAAGGAGGGTCAGAGAGAATAAAATGGTACAAAAAAAGAAAACATAGCTAGGGATGGAGAAGTGAGGTCAGAGACCTAGAGAGACAGAGAAGGTGGAAGGAGGAAATAGACATGAAGAGAGATGGGGGTGGAGGGTGAGAGAGAGAAAGAGAGCATTAAGTCATAGAGCAGGGGAGTGAGTTCTCAGCTCAGGTGTGAGGAGAGCTGTGACAACGAAGAACCTCCCTGAGGAAACCACCTCTTCTCCTTCCAGGTCTATATGGGAAACCTTCTCTCTCAGCCCAGCCGGGCCCCACGGTTCAGGCAGGAGAGAATGTGACCTTGTCCTGCAGCTCCCGGAGCTTGTTTGACATTTACCATCTATCCAGGGAGGCAGAGGCCGGTGAACTTAGGCTCACTGCGGTGCTGAGGGTCAATGGAACATTCCAGGCCAACTTCCCTCTGGGCCCTGTGACCCACGGAGGGAACTACAGATGCTTCGGCTCTTTCCGTGCCCTGCCCCACGCGTGGTCAGACCCGAGTGACCCACTGCCCGTTTCTGTCACAGGTGAGAAAACACCATGCCTGTCCCATGTCTTGTGATCCTAGAGCCATAGCTGAGGAGCTTCCTGCTGATGATGGAGAGAAGCATGGACAGATGCCGAGACAGAACACACAGCATGGGTGTAAGGGCGGGGTCAGGGGGCAGGATGGCAGACAGGGCACCTCCAAACCCTCCTGTATGGCCTGCAAGGAGGCCCTTGATCAGGGTTCCAGGCACCCAGGCAGATGGAGAAAGAGGTCAGAACAGACCCAGAGGAGGGAGACTGGGCTCTGCCTGGGGAGATCAGAGGTTCTCTCAGCCCCTCAACCTTACCCACTTCCCAGAAGCCCATCCTGGCCTGTCACCCACAGAGAGATGTCATCACCAGCAACGCCTACACCCTTTTCTTTTTGTTTGAAGAAATATTTATTGAGGTGAAATATACCTATGTAATTTACCACCTTTACCATTTTTAAGTGTGAAGTCTACTGTTCATAAATACATTTATAGGCTGGGCACGGTGGCTCACTGTTGTAATCCCAACACTTTGAGAGGCCAAGGCAGGTGGATCATTTGAGATCAGGGGCTCAAGACCACCCTGGCCAACATGGGGAAAATCCATCTGTACTAAAAATACAAAATAATAATAATAATGATAATAATTAGCCGAGCATGGTGGCACATGCCTGTAGTCCCAGCTACTTGGGAGGGTTGGGCAGGAGTTGCACTTAATTGCAGGAGGCGGAGGTTGCAGTGAGCTGAGATCATGCCACTGCACTGCAGCCTGGGCAACAGAGAGAGACACTCTCTCAAAATTAATTAATTAATTAATTAGTATTCTTTTTTTTTTACCCTCCACCCTTCCCTTCCTGGCCTCTGGTAGCCACCATTCTACTCTCTACCTTTGTGAGATCCACCTTTTAGCTCCTGCATATGAGTGAGAAATGGAAATACTTGTAATGACCTCCAGTTCCATTCATGTGGCTGTAAATGACAGGATGTTACTCTTTCTATGGATGAGTTGTCCCTATTGTGTGTGTGTACCACATTCTCTCCATCCATTCACCCACTGATGGGCAGGTAGGTTGATCCACATCTTGGCTACTGTGAACACTGCTGGAACAGTCATGGGAGTGCAGATGTCACTTCGATACGCTGATGTCCTTTCCTTTGGGTTTACACCCAGTCATGGAATTGCTAGATCCTCTGGAAGTGTCTTTTTACATTTTGTTTTATGGTTTTTGTTTTTGTTTTTGTTTTTTTTAGACAGTTTCACTCTTGTTGCCCAGGCTGGAGTGCAGTGGTGCCATCTGGGCTCACTGCAACCTCCACCTCCAGGATTCAAGAGATTCCCCAGCCTCAGCCTCCCAAGTAGCTGGGTTACTGGCTCCCACCACCACACTCGGCTAATTTTTATATTTTTAGTAGAGACAGAGTTTCGCTATATTGGCCAGGCTGCTCTTCAACTCCTGACCTCAAGTGACCTACCCACCTCGGCCTCCCAATGTGCTGGGATTACAGGCATGAACCACTGTGCCCGACCTCATTTTATTTTTTGAGGAACTTCCATACTCTTCTCCTCTGTAATGGCTGTACTAATTTGCATTCGTATCAGCAGTGTACCAGATGCAACCCTGGTTGACTCAGCAGAGCAAGAGACGTGCAGTAAGAGAGAATTTAGCTTATTTATGCACACGACACTTCCACTCACTCACTCGTTCAGCCAATGCCCCATGCTCTGGCTGTGCAGTGTGGAATCTTTTCCTATTGTTGCCATAACAAATTTCCACAAGCTTCGTGGATGAAAACATGTTTTTCTTAATTATCTCACAGTGCTGTAACTCAGAAGTATGAACTGCATTTCACTGGGCTGATATCAAAGGGACAGTAAGGCTGGATTTCTTTTTAAGGTTCCAAGCAAGAATCTGCTCCTTAACGTTTCCCAGCTCCTAGAGGCTCCCACGTTCCTGGGCCCCTGGTCCCCTTCCTCCTTCCTCCTTCCTCAAAGCCCACAAAGGCTGGTCACGTCTCACATGGCATCATTCAGACTCTTCTTCTTTACCCATACCTTTTTCTCTGAATCCTGCTCTGCCTTCTTCCTCATCTTTTAAGGACTTTGGGATTCTATTGGGGTCACCAAGATAATCCATCTCAATCTCCCTAAAATCATCCAGCGTACCCTCTTTTTAAGTTCAGCTGATTAGCAACCGTAATGCCATCTGCAATCTTCATTCCTCCTTTCCTGTAAAATAACATATTCACAAGCTATGGAGGCTAAGACAGGGACATTTTGGGGGTGGGGCAGCATTCTCCTGCCTTCCACAAATGGTAAACAGGATGCATTTGGCCTCTGCTCTTGGGACGCTGATATTGCAGATGGGTAAATGCGAGGGCAGAGAATGAATGCACAAGGGTACCAATAAATGAATGATCCATTGGGAAGCATCTGTGCACCAAATCTGGGGTTTTTTGTGTGTGTGTGTGTTTTTTGTTTTCTTTTTTTTTTTTGAGTAGAGTCTCTCTCTGTTCCACAGGCTGGAGTGCAGTAGCACAATCTCAGCTCATTGCAACCTCTGCCTCCTGGGTTCATGCAATTCTCCTGCCTCAGCCTACCGAGTAGCTGGGATTACAGCTGTGCGCCACCACACTCGGCTAATTTTTTTGGTATATTTTTTAGTAGAAATGAGGTTTCACCATGTTGTGCAGGCTGTCTCAAACTCCCAATCTCAAGTGATCCCACCGCCTTAGCGTCCCTAAGTGCAAAGATTACAGGCGAGAGCTACTGCGCCCAGCCAGGATTTAAAATAAGTAATAGATAATGCTGAGTATATAATTTCAGGTGACAGAGAAGGTCTCACTGATCAGATAATATTTGTGACCTTAATGGAAAAAATGGATTCAACCCTTGGAAGATTGGCGGAAGGATTTTCCACACTGAGCTCTCAGCCGTGAAGGCACAAAGGTGGAAACATTCTTAGTTCAAGGAAGAGGCTCTGCCTCAAATGCTGGGAATGAGATGGGGAGAATGACAAGACAACTGTAGAGAGATGGAGAGCACACTGGGTACACAGGAAACTAAGGAGGAACAAGGAGCATGTTTTTGATACTCACAGCCCTTGGATTCAACTCAGAGCTAACTAGGAATCCCTACCTGATTAACAGTGACCGACATGAAAATAAGGGAGGCCCAGGTGCGTAACTGGAATCTAGGAGACCGTGGAAAAGGCAATTCCCGCCCCACTGGTGAAACGTAGGGTTGATTTACACACTAAATGAATGAAAGATGGATATAAGCTATGCTTGTGAGGTAGAATCATTTGCAGGGAGGGCTTGCTGGGTTTGATTTTTCCTAGTAGTTTAATCCTTGTTTCATTAATTTCTTTCTGAGATGTGTTTTTTTTCTACATCTAAATCAATACCTGGCAGAGGAGCGATAGACACATGAGGGGTGGTGCAAATGAAGGGACCTAGTATAATATAATATACAAGACTGTGGATGGGGGCTCACACCTGTAACCCAACACTTTGGGAGGCCAAGGCGGGTAGATCACTTAAGGGTAGGAGTTTGAGACCAGCCTGGCCAACATGGTGAAACCCCGTCTGTACTAAAAATACAAAAATTAGCCTGGTGCATTGGCACCTGCCTGTAATCCCAGCGACTGGGGAGGCTGAAGCAGAAGAATGGCTTCAACCCTGGAGGCAGAGGTTGAACTGAGATCGCATCACTGCACTCCAGCCTGACACAGGGGGACTCTGTCTCAAAAAATAAAAATAAAACATACATAATTATGACACACAGAAATTACAAAGGCAACTGGATACCAACCATCATTTTTCTATTTCTCTGTGTTTAATTCTTTGACCCTTTATCTTATCCATTAAACAATCAGGTTAAACCTCTTCCTTATTTGGCTTTCTGTGAGCTTGGGATCATATGGAAAATGTGAAAGCCTCCTGAACCCACCAGCACAGGTCCTGGAATAGAGAACGTGCTCTGTTCATGGCATAAAACTTGCCCCTTCACCCAAATCCCCCAATTCATCTCTACTTCCAATCACCTATGGAGATACAGATAGATCATGGGGAGGTAAACACTAATACTCTTTGGAGTGAGCTCAGATCTTGGACTCAGAGACCAGTGCCAGCACTAGCCCCTGGTCACATTTCGTACTAACTCACAGAAGGACAGGCTGTATTGAAACAATAAACGACGGAGAGGGCGGTCCTTCCCCGTGCTTCTCGGGTGGAATAGCAGCCTAATATATGTCTCAGCAGATCACAAAAAGTAGCATGTTGTTCCTGGGCTACATCATTATTTCATGGCTGTTTGATTTAAGTCAGTTCTACTTCACTTTTTTTATCTTGATTTCATTTTTTCTTTCTTTTCTTGGAGAATGTAATTTTTTTTGAGTCAAGAGGGTTGTGGTGGTAGAAACTGTAAAGCACATTCGCTGTGTATCAATCCCAATCCAGTCTTCCCAGAGAAGATTCTAAACACCTCCTGGAATGCACCTGGGCCTATACCAATTCCTATCACTCACCGTCACTCCAGGGAGACAGAACACACAGAGAACACATTACACAGGCAGGTTCATTACTAACAGATAAGCAGCGAGTGACAACAGAAACCTACATTTCAATGTGAGCCAGTCCCTCAAGGCTCAGAAAAGCTGCTCGAGACATGTGGAGTCACCCCATATGCAGTGTATCTGGGGGAAATCAAAAAGCAGCCCAGCCTGGGTTTTGTACCCTGGAGCCACAGGAAGCACTCAGCTAAAGCACTGCATGACGTCCTCCTCCAGGAAGAACAGGAAGACAGCCCAGGCTGTTCTGGGATGTTCCTCCTGATCTCAGGACGTTGCTGTCTTAGTCCATTTTTGTTGCTCTAAAGGAACACTTGAGCCTGGGTAACTTCTAAAGAAAAGAAATGTGTTTGCCTCACAGTTCTGCAGGCTGTACTGGAAGCATGGCACCAGCATCTATTTCTTGTGACGGCCTCAGGCTGCTCCCACTCTGGCAGAAGGGAAGGAGGGTCTGTCTGTGCAGAGACCACAGAGATCACACGGCAAGAGAGGGACCAAGGGGGAGGGGGAGCGATGGAGCTTCCAAGCTCTTTTAACAACCAGTTCTCCAGGAACTAATAGAGGGGGAACTTGCTAACCCCGTCTCCTTGGAACAGCATTGATCTGTTCATGATGGATCCACCTCCATGACCCAAACAACTCCCAAGAGGCCCAACCTCCCACCCTGGGGGTTACATTTCAATGTGAGGTTTGAAGGGGTCAAACATCTAAACTAAAGCAGTTGTATCCTCAGCACGTTCTATGGTTACTACAACTGAGAAAGCAGGAGGAAGCTAGGTCTCCCGCCATCTGGGTGCTTGTCCTAAAGAGACGTTGTATGTGGTTACCTGTCAATCAAGAAATGTGAGACAATTCATATAGAGGAACTGCTATGATTAGCTTCTTATTGGTGTCTTGTCTTCCTCCAGGTAACTCCAGACACCTGCACGTTCTGATTGGGACCTCAGTGGTCATCATCCCCTTTGCTATCCTCCTCTTCTTTCTCCTTCATCGCTGGTGTGCCAACAAAAAGAGTAAGTCTCACGAAGCAGAAGCCAGAGAGCTCAGGGCCATGTGGGGAAGCAGGATGGGAGCACTCAGGTGTGTGTTCCTCACAGGCAGGATGGTCCCTGGCCCAAGGCAGGAGCCACAGAGGCAGGACTTTCTAGAGAGAGCACCAGACTCCCTGCCTCTGCCTTCAGCTCACAGACCATTGCCTGATTCTGAACCGTATCCTCACATCCCCTGCAGCCACTCACATCCAGGAGAAGGTTCCATGACAGGCAGAAAGTGGGACACAGAATCAATAGGATGGGAACTCAGAGCTATACATGGGATGGATCCTTGAGCTCAGAGAGATAGAATGTCTGAGTCTGCTGTTGGCAACTGAGGGACCTCAGGCACCTATGGCCTCCCCCTGTATGTTGGTATCTGCTTATGAAATGAGGACCCAGAAGTGCCCTCCGAGCTGTTTTGACGACTTCCGTCTTCTACAGATGCTGTTGTAATGGACCAAGAGCCTGCAGGGAACAGAACAGTGAACAGGGAGGTAGGTGCTCCTCCGCCCAGCCTCGTGGCTAGTCTTATTCCCAAAGAGTCCTGGAAAATGTGAGCACCCTCCCTCACTCAGCATTTCCCTCCCTCCAGGACTCTGATGAACAAGACCCTCAGGAGGTGACATACGCACAGTTGAATCACTGCGTTTTCACACAGAGAAAAATCACTCGCCCTTCTCAGAGGCCCAAGACACCCCCAACAGATACCAGCGTGTAACACGGAACTTCCAAATGCTGAGCGCAGATCCAAAGTTGTCTTCTGTCCACTAGCACCACAGTCAGGCCTTGATGGGATCTTCTAGGGAGACAATAGCCCTGTCTCAAAACCGGGTTGCCAGCTCCCATGTACCAGCAGCTGGACTCTGAAGGCGTGAGTCTGCATCTTAGGGCATCGCTCTTCCTCACACCACGAATCTGAACATGCCTCTCTCTTGCTTACAAATGTCTAAGGTCCCCACTGCCTGCTGGAGAGAAAACACACTTGCTTAGCCCACAATTCTCCATTTCACTTGACCCCTGCCCACCTCTCCAACCTAACTGGCTTACTTCCTAGTCTACTTGAGGCTGCGATCACACTGAGGAACTCACAATTCCAAACATATAAGAGGCTCCCTCTTAACACGGCACTTAGATACGTGCTATTCCACCTTTCCTCAGAGTATCTTTCAGCCTTCTGTCAGCAGTAAAACTTATAAATTTTTTTTATAATTTCAATGTAGTTTTCTCTTCTTCAAGTAAACATGTCTGCCCTCATGGTTTCGTCAATGGGACTCTTTTCTTGCCTAAGGCTTCCGGTGTTATCATTACCACGTCCACATAACCCCATCTGTTCTCCGCTGGGTTCTCACCCCTGGACTCTGAGCTTCTGGAAGCAGGGTGGAGCCTGAATTGTCTCTGAGACTCCAATTTCCATCCAAAGATGCAGCACATAGGAGGTTCCAAGGATGGTGAATCAGATGAACAAGTGATATTCTTACTCTCTGCAGATCTGGAAAGCTGGCAGAGTCATTCCACGATGAAACATTTGTAGAGTCATAGGCCTTGTTAGTCTCATCTCCACAGGGACACGTATCAACACATCATCTTTCATACTACTATAAATAGACAGTCACTCCTCCATATCTCTGGGGTTTACACATGTTTATTGAATCAGCAATAAATCAAAAATATTTTGAGAAAAAAAATCCCCGAAGTTTCAAAAAGCAAAAAACTATGTTGAATCGACACAAATTGAGTGGCGTGTAGGCTGTGTCAGGAATTATAAGTAATCAAGAGATGATTTCATGTATACAGGAGGATGTGCATGGGTTCTATGCAATTGCTATGCTATTTTTTTTTTTTTTGAGACAGTCTCACTCTCTCACCCAGGCTGGAGTGCAGTGGCGTGATCTCAACTCACTGCAACCTCCGCCTTCCAGGTTCAAGCGATTCTCTTCCCTCAGCCTCCCCAGTAGCCTCCCCTAGGATTACAGGCACGTGCCACCCTGCACAGATAAATTTTTTTGTGTGTATATTTTTAGTAGAGATGGGGTTTCAGAATGTTGGACCAGCTGGTCTTGAACTCCTGACCTTGTGATCTACCCAGCTCAGCCTCCCAAAGTGCTGGGATTACAGGCGTGAGCCACGGTGCCCAGCTTCACTATGCCATTTCATGCAAGGGGCTTGAGCATCTGCAGATTTTGGTATCTGAATGGGGATCCTGGAACCAATCACCCAGGTATAGTGAAGGACCATGGTATATAATTTTTATTTGTCAATCTTAAAAATAAAGCATAAAAAATTTACAACAACAAGATAAAAAATAAGAAGTGTTTTTATAGTGTGAGGATAAGTTTAGATTTATTTTTTCCTACGTGTAACCCTATGGTCCTGTGTTATTTGTTGAGAAAATATTCTATTCCACCTTAAACTACATGGCAGCCTTTGTCAACTATAAAGGGACTGTGTATCCACAGATGTATTTTAGACACAGTTTTCTGTCCAGTGGTTCTCTGTATCCCCTCTCATGAGGATGCTGCATTTTATATAAACTTATAGAACCCCTTAAAATTTGGTAACCTGAGTCCTCTGATTTGTTATTATAGGTTATTTAGTTTGCTTTTTTTTTTTTTCTTGAGACAGACTCTTCCTCTGTCACCCAAGCTGGAGTTCAGTGGCTTGAGCTCAGCTCACTGCAACCTCCGTCTCCCAGGTTCAAGCTATTCTGATGCCTCTGGTTTAGTAGTAGAAACTCAAGCAGGAAAATTAGAATGGCTTCTTGTCACAATTACTCTGATAATGTTAATAATACCTGTTAGACATTTTGCACATTACATATGAAGAAGAGTTTGAATCTCAGATAAAAACAAAAATACATCAAAAATCTTTAATGTAAGCACAGAATTCAATCATCTCGTGTATGAGAGGTTGGATCTGAGACGTCTTTTGAGTCTGGTCGTAGTGAAGGACGCAAGGTGTCAATTCTAGTGAGAACAATTTCCAGGAAGCCATGTTCCGCTCTTGAGCGAGCACCCACTGGGCCTCATGCAAGGTAGAAAGAGCCTGCGTACGTCACCCTCCCATGATGTGGTCAACATGTAAACTGCATGGGCAGGGCGCCAAATAACATCCTGTGCGCTGCTGAGCTGAGCTGGGGCGCGGCCGCCTGTCTGCACAGACAGCACCATGTCGCTCATGGTCGTCAGCATGGTGTGTGTTGGTGAGTCCTGGAAGGGCATCGAGGGAGGGAGTGCGGGGATGGAGATCGGGGCCCAGAGTTGGAGATATAGGCCTGGAAGTGGAGTTATGGGCCTAGAGATGGAGTGATGGGCCTAGAAGTGGAGATCTGGGCCTGGAGTGGAGATCTGGGCCTGGAGTGGAGATATGGGCCTGGAGGTTGAGATATGGGCCTGCAGTAGAGATATGGGCTTGTAGTGGAGACATGGGCCTGGAGATGGAGATATGGGCCTGGAGATGGAGATATGGGCCTGCAGTAGAGATAGGGGCCTGGAGTGGAGATATGGGCCTGGAGTGGAGATATGGGCCTGGAGGTGGAGATATGGGCCTGGAGGTGGAGATATGGGCCTGGAGTGGAGATATGGGTCTGGAGGTGGAGATACGGGCCTGCAGTAGAGATATGGGCCTGGAGTGGAGATATGGGCCAGGAGTGGAGTTATGGGCCTAGAGATGGATATCTGGGCCTGGAGTGGAGATATGGGCCTAGGAAGGAGATATGGGCCTGGGTGTGGAGATATGGGACTGGAGAGGTGATATGGGCCTGGAGTGGAGATATGGGCTTAGGGTGGAGATCTGGGCCTGGGGCGGAGATATGGGACTGGATTGGAGATAGGGGCCTAGGGTGGAGATCTGAGCCTGGATTGGCGATATGGGCCTAGGGTGGAAATATCAGCCTGGAGTGGAGATATGGGCTTGGGGTGGGGATATGGGCCTGGAAACTGGGTCTCTGCACAGCCGACAGCCCTGTTCTTGGGTGCAGGTAGGCACTGAGGGTGAGTTTAACTTCAGCCCAGGAAGGGCCTGGCTGCCAAGACTCACAGCCCAGTGGGGGCAGCAAGGGAGGCCTGGTTTGCCTGCAGATGGATGGTCCATCATGATCTTTCTTTCCAGGGTTCTTCTTGCTGCAGGGGGCCTGGCCACATGAGGGTGAGTCCTTCTCCAAACCTTCGGGTGTCATCTCCCCACATAAGAGGATTTTCCTGAAACAGGAGGGAAGTCCTGTCGGGGAGTCTCTCATAAACTAGGAAGAGAGGACCCTGGGGTGCTCAGCCCACATTTCTGACCTCGCCTCCCTGGCCTCTCAACCCCTTGGCAGAGTCAAGTTCTGTGGGGACCAGGGTTAGACTGGGGTGCTCAAAGCTGGGGTGTGTGGTTGGGAAGTGGTAGGAACAGCAGATCCTCTGAGGACAAAGGTGTTACTCACACACTTCAGCGTTTCCATGATGGTAGGGGCTGCAGTGTGGCTGCTGTCATTCTACCAGAAGAGGTGGGAAACCACAGCCATGGCCCTGACATTCCAAATCCTCTGATGGGGGCTCAGTTGTTTATTTTCGTTCAGGCATCCGCTGATATCCATTCACAAAGGACATGCCCTCCACCTCATGTCTACCCTGTGTTGTTTTATGTGAGTAATCTTACAGTATTAAAATCTAGTAGGAGTCTCTTTACTCAGCACTTGCTCAAAGTTCTCAGCTGAGGCTTTTGTTGTAGGGAGACACCATGTCTTTGCGGGATGGGTCCTTCCTTCAGCCCTGGGCACCAAGGTGTGATAGTAGCCATAGAAACGTGGAAAGCGAGGAGAATCTTCTGAGCACAGGGAGGGAAGGGCAGTTCCACATCCTCCTCTCTAAGGCGGCGCCTCCTTCTCCCCAAGGTGGTCAGGACAAGCCCTTGCTGTCTGCCTGGCCCAGCCTTGTGGTGCCTCTAGGACATGTCATTCTTCGGTGTCACTCTTATCTTGGGTTTAACAACTTCAGTCTGTAAAAGGAAGGTGGGGTGCCTGTCCCTGAGCTCTACAACAGAATATTCTGGAACAGCCTTTTCATGGGCCCTGTGACCCCCGCACACACAGGGACATACAGATGTCGGGGTTCACACACACACTCCCCCAGTGGGTGGTCAGCACCCAGCAACCCCCTGGTGATCGTGGTCATAGGTCAGAGGGCTCCTGTCTTGGATTCTCCTTGTCCCACCTCCTGAATCCCAGAGCTTCTGTTGGGCATGTCCTTGAGGGTCCCATCACGCAGGCCCTGACTGTATTTGTGGTAAAGGGGGATTGAATACAGGGAAATGGGTGCTGTGGTGGGAAGAATAATTGTCCCCAGTGATGACTACATTCTAATCCCTGGAGTCTGTGACTATTTATGTTATAGGGGAAGGGACTGAAGGGGAAGATGGAGCTCATGGGGAGACAGCCTGGACTGTCCCACTGGGCTCAGTGTAATCACAAGGGTGCACATGAAAGGAGGAGGAAGAGGGGAGTGGGGATTAGAGCAGTCCAGTGGAAGTCTTCACCAGCTTTGAAGGTGGAGGAAGGCCAAGATCCATGAATGCAGGTGGCCTATAGAGGCTGGAAAAGTCAAGGAACTGATTCTCCAGAGTCTCCAGAGGGAACAAAGCCCTGCAGATGCCTTGATTTTAGCCCAGGAAAAATAGGGTCCAATTTCTGTCTCCAGTACTGGAAGGTGTCAGTGTGGTCTCTCCTGCTGCCATGCTTCTGATAATTTTCTACAGCAGCAACAGGAAACCAACACTGGAACCCAGGTCAAGGACAAGTTAAGAAACAACCCAAGGAAAGCCAGGCATGGTGGCAGGTGCATGTAATCCTAGCGACTCAGGAGGCTGAGGGCAGGAGAATCACTTGAACCCAGGAGACAGAGGTTGCAGTGAGCCTAGACCACACCACTTCACTCCAGCCTGGGTGAAGGAGTGAGACTCTGTATCCATAATTAATTAATTAATTAAAGAAACCAAACAAGGAGAAGGTTGGCTACCCTGAGATCAGCAAGGGTGGGATGATGATGCCACCACCAGGCTCCATCCACATAGGGAGGGGTTGATACTCCTCCAACCAGCACCAGGAGCCAGCCTATGGAAGCTGGCACCATGGAGAAGGCACAGGCATGGCAAGAGTGGCTCCCAGTCCCCACCAGGAACAGGGTGTGTGGACACTGGTGCCTGCCTTATTCATCAGTTCATACCTTCTGCCAAGGATTGCAATTCATCCAAAAGAGATTGAACCAGGCTGATAAGAGCCTGGATGTGCAGCCTATCCTGGTTCCTCTTTCACCCCCACATAAACAGCAGGAAATACATTAGTGTGAAATAGATACAACACCCCAAGAGATGAGGCTCAGCCCAGTGGGAAGGGAATCAGAGGCTACTAGAGACAGAGGGACAGAGAAGAGGGAGGGAGACAGATGGAAGGACCTGCACCAGGAGTTAAGGGCACAGAAAAGAACATGAAGACACAGAGAGGAAGGAGAGAGACAGACACCAGCAAGGGGAAGCCTCACTCATTCTAGGTGCCATGGATGGGATGATAAAGAGAGACACCTTCTAAACTCACAACCTCTCTTCCTAGGAGTCCACAGAAAACCTTCCCTCCTGGCCCACCCAGGTCCCCTGGTGAAATCAGAAGAGACAGTCATCCTGCAATGTTGGTCAGATGTCAGGTTTCAGCACTTCCTTCTGCACAGAGAAGGGAAGTTTAAGGACACTTTGCACCTCATTGGAGAGCACCATGATGGGGTCTCCAAGGCCAACTTCTCCATCGGTCCCATGATGCAAGACCTTGCAGGGACCTACAGATGCTACGGTTCTGTTACTCACTCCCCCTATCAGTTGTCAGCTCCCAGTGACCCTCTGGACATCGTCATCACAGGTGAGAGTGTCCGGACATTCTCATTGTCATTGGGATGCAGAGTGAATGATCCACGACTTGGAACCCCCAGGTAGTTGTAAGGAAGATGAGCTTGGTATTCTTATGGAGAGAGACTGACTTGCTGAGGTTTGTACCAACAGAGACAGAGAAACAGGAGACACAAGTACAGACCAGGTGTCATAACAGAGGACAGACACAGGGGCCATACAGGGAGTTAGAAAAGACAGAAAGAGTTAAAAGAGACAGACAGACAGACATGTCCCAGAGAGAGGTGTCCCTCCATGCTGACTTTGCTCACAGACCTGGCACAGGTTAGAAGTTTCATTTCTGTTTTACCTCCACAAAGTGTTCTCTACCAGGAGAACCCAAGGACACCCATATTTATGACCTGAGTTGGGCCCTGTGGCCTCAGGCCTTGTGGCACCTACAGGCCATGTTTATTCTGACACCTCTGCCTTCCATGTAATGGAGAGTAATCGTCCCAGGATATCATGGCCCCAGAACACCAACCCCTGTATGCTGTGTGAACTTGTGGTCTCCAGACTGGATTCTGTGGCTCACATTCCAAATAACCCCACATATGAAAGGATCACTGAGAGGCACAGAGAAAAATCAGGAACACCAAAAAGCAAAGACATAAACACACAGAGAATGAGCCAGAGGAAGGAGATTGAGAGACTCACAGACACATAAAGAGAGAGAAAAGAGGGCAGAGGAGTGGTGAGAATGATGGCAGGGAGCAGAGAAAAGCACTAAAATTAGAGTCCTGAGAGAGAGGCACAAGGACATAGAAACATGGAGATGTGGGGATGAATTGCAGAGATTCCAAAGAGAACTAGAGAGACCGAGAGGCAGAGCAAGACAGATGATAGATGGATAGATATAGATAGATGATAAATAGGTAGATGATAGATAATAGGTTAAAGATACATAGATGATGATTGATTGATTCATTAATAGATAATACATAGAGATGATGATGATGAAGACAGATAATACGTACAGATAGAGAGGCAGACAGAAATCATAGAGAGAGAGATGATACATACATATAAATAACAGATGATTGATGGATAGATAGACAAGTGATAGATACATAGATGATATATAGATATAGATGACAGGTAGAGAATTTGTAGATAGGCACCGAATAGATAAATAGATAGATCGACAGATAATAGATAGAAATATGCAGAAAGTTATGAACAGGACACAACGTGAGAAACTTAGAATTTAAAAAAGTAACATCAAGTCAACCAATCCAAGGAGAGTCAGAGAGAATAAAAGAATCCAAAAAGGGAAAACATATCTAGAGGTGGGGAAGCGAGGTCAGAGACCTAGAGAGACAGAGAAGGTGGAAGAAGGAAATAGACATGAAGAGAGATGGGGTGGAGGGTGAGAGAGAGAGAGAGAGAGAGCATTAGGTCATAGAGCAGGGGAGTGAGTTCTCAGCTCAGGTGAAGGGAGCTGTGACAAGGAAGATCCTCCGTAAGGAAAATGCCTCTTCTCCTCCAGGTCTATATGAGAAACCTTCTCTCTCAGCCCAGCCGGGCCCCACGGTTCTGGCAGGAGAGAGCGTGACCTTGTCCTGCAGCTCCCGGAGCTCCTATGACATGTACCATCTATCCAGGGAGGGGGAGGCCCATGAACGTAGGTTCTCTGCAGGGCCCAAGGTCAACGGAACATTCCAGGCCGACTTTCCTCTGGGCCCTGCCACCCACGGAGGAACCTACAGATGCTTCGGCTCTTTCCGTGACTCTCCATACGAGTGGTCAAACTCGAGTGACCCACTGCTTGTTTCTGTCACAGGTGAGGAAACCCCATATCTGTCTCATGTCCTATGATCCTAGAGCCTTAGCTGAGGAGCTTCCTGCTGATGATGGAGAGAAGCATGGACAGATGCAGAGAGAAGACGAAGCTTGGGTGTGAGGGAGGGATCAGGGCACAGGATGGCAGACAGGGCACCTCCAAACCCTCCTACACGGCCTGCATGAAGGCCCGCGGCCAGGGCTCCAGGCACACAGGCAGATGGAGAAAACGGTCAGGAGAGACCCAGAGGAGAGAGACTGGGCTCAGTTTGGGAAGATCAGAGGTTCCCTCAGCCCCTCAACATTACCCATTTCCCAGAAGCCCATCCTGGCCTCTCACCCACACAGGGATGTCATCACCAGCAACCCCTACACCCTTTACTTTTGTTTGAAGAAATATTTATTGAGGATAAATATACCTATATAGCTTACCACCTTTAACATTTTTTTTTTTTTTGAGGCAGAGTCTAGCTCTGTCCCCTATGCTGGAGTGCAGTGGCACAATCTCAGCTCACTGCAACTTCCGCCTCCTGGGTTCAAGTGATTCTCCTGCTTCAGCCACCTGAGTAGCTGGTGCTACAGGCGCGCACCACCACGCCAGGCTACTTTTTGTATTTTTAGTAGAGAGGGGGTTTCACCATGTTGGTCGAGCTGGTCTCCAACTCCTGACCACGTGATCCACCCGCATCTGCCTCCCAAAGTGCTGGGATTACAGGCATGAGCCACCACGCCCAGCCACATTTACCATTTTTAAGTGTAAAGTCTAGTGGTCATAAATACATTTATATATATATATATATATATATATATACACACACACACACATATATAAACATATATATATATATATATATATATATATATATATATATATTTTTTTTTTTTTTTTTACCCTCCACCCTTTTATTCCTGGCCTCTGGAAGCCACCATTCTACTCTCTACCTTCATGAGATCCACCTTTTAGCTCTGTATATGGGTGAGAAATGGGAATCTTTGTAATGACTTCCAGTTCCATCCATGTGGCTGCAAATATCAGGATGTTATTCTTTCTATGGATGAGTAGTCTCCACTGTGCGTATGTACTACATTCTCTCTATCCATTCATCCACTGATGGGCAGGTAGGTTGACTCCACATCTTGGCTACTGTGAACAGTGCTGCACCAATCATACGAGTGCAGATATCACTTCGATATATTGATTTACTTTCCTTTGGATATAAACCCAGTAGTGAAATTGCTGGATACTATGAAAGTTCTCTTTTTAGTTATTCGTTTGTTGTTTTGTTTTTGTTTTTGAGACAGTTTCCCTCTGTGCCCAGGCTGGAGTACAAGTGAAGTCATCTTGGCTCATTGCAACCTCCGCCTCCTGGGTTCAAATGATTTTCCTGCCTCAGCCTCCCTAGTAGCTGGGATTACAGGTGCACGCCACCATGCCTGGCTACTTTTTGTTTTTTTTAGTATAGATGGGGTTTCCCCATGTTGGCTGGGCTGCTCTCAAACTCATGACCTCAACTGAGGTGCCCGCCTCGGTCTCCCAAAGTGCCGGGATTACAGGCATGATCCACCTCACCCAACCTCTTTTTAGTTCTTTAAAGGACTTCCACACTTTTCTCCGTAAAGGCTGTACTAATTTACACTCCTACCAACAGGGTATTAGGGTTCTCCTTTCTCTACCACTTTGGCAGGATTTCCTTTGCCTGTCTTGCAGCTAAAAGCCATTTTATTTTATTTCATTTTATTTTGAGATGGAGTTTCGCTCTTGTCACCCAGGCTGGAGTGCAGTGGTGCGATCTCGGCTCACCACAACCTCCACCTCCCAGGTTCAAGCGATTCTCCTGCCTCAGCCTCCCGAGTAGCTGGAATTACAGGCACACGCCACCACGCCCAACTAAATTTTGTATTTTTAGTAGAGACAGTGTTTCTTCATGTGGGTCAGACTGGTCTCAAACTCCCGACCTTATGAGGTTCACCCACCTCAGGCTCTCAAAGGTCTAGGATGACAGACGTGAGCCACCACGCCCGGCCTAAAATCCATTTTAATGGGGTGAGATGAAAACTCACTTTGATTTTAATTTGTGTTTCTCTGATGATGAGTGAAACTGAGCACTTTTTAGTATGTGGGGAAATTTCATGTGTTTTGCTCCTTTTTCAATTAAATCGTTTGTTTTATTGAGTTGTTTGAGCTTCTTATATTTCTAGTTATTAATCCCATCTCAGATGCATAGTTTGCACATATTTGCTCCCAATCTGTGGGTTGTCTCTTCACTTTGTTGGTTTATTTTTAGCGGTGCAGAAGTTGCTTAGTTTGAGGTAATCCCAATGGTCTATTTTTGCTTCGATTACTTGTGTTTTGAAGGTTTAAAACAAAATGTCTTCCTTCAGACAAATGTCCTGGAGCATTTCCCCAATATTTTCTTCTACGTGTTTCATAGGTTCAGGCCTTAGACTCACATCTTTAATCCATTTTCATTTGAGTTTTGTGTATAGTGACAGGTAGAGGTGCAGTTTCATTCCTCTGCATGTAGATGTCCAGGTTTCCCTGCACTGTTTATTGAAAAGACTGTCCTTTCCTGATTGTGAGTTCTTGGCACCTTTGTCAAAGTCCATTGGATGGGCTGGGCATGGTGGCTGACACCTGCAATTTCAGCACTTTGGGAGCCCAAGGCGGGTGGATCACCTGAGGCCAGGAGTTCAAGATTAGTCTGGCCGACGTGATGAAACATTGTCTCCACTAAAAATATAAAAATTAGCTGAGCATGGTGGTCAGCACCTGTAATACCACTACTCAGGAGTTTGAGGCCAGAGAATTGATTGAACCCAGGAGGCTGTGGTGGCAGTGAACCGAGATTGCACCTCTGCACTCCAGCCTGGGTGACAGAGCGAGACTCCATCTCAAAAGAAAAAAGAAAAAAACATTGGAGGTAAATGCATGGATTATATCTGTGTTCTTCATTCTGCTCCATTGTTCTACGTGCCTTTCTTTATGCCAATGTGATGCTGTTTTGCTTACTACAGCTCTGTAACATATTTTGAGATCAGGTAGTGTGATGCTCCTGTTTTCTCTTTATACCTTGAAGTCTCAAGACAGTGGGCGTCACATACAAAAATTACGGAAAAAAGGATCCCAGGACTCCCAGGGCCCAATATTAGATAACAGAGTGTTGGCCATGAACCAACCTCAAAGATTTCCATTGAGTAGAGGACAGACACCCTCATTTCCTCACCTCTCTCCTGTCTCGTGTTCTAGGAAACCCTTCAAATAGTTGGCCTTCACCCACTGAACCAAGCTCCGAAACCGGTGAGTACAGAACCCTCTTATATCCGCTTTTGGAAACCTGGGGAGGTAGAAACCTTCGATGCAGGCATTGACTCAGCATCTCGCAGCTCTGACATTGTACGCCTGTCTTCTACCATCTCCGAACTCCAGATACTCCAACAGCGAAAGGGATCTGGGCCCAACCTAGGGCTCAGTGAAATCTCTTAATCTCTCATTTTATGGAGCTGAGACCTCCTACAAGCTAGAAGAATGATTGCCAATCTGACATCCTTCTCAGGAAAAATGCAATGTTTGTTCTGCCTGCATTCCTAACTGGAGGATAAATTCCTGGGGGCTTGAGAGAGGGAAGGGAAGGGAACATCTGATGAGGGCGAGGTGTTTTAGAGAAGTTCCACTTGCCAAGGAATGAATTACTGTTGGTCATGAAGCAACCCTGGCTGACTCAGCAGAGCAACAGCCTTGCCGTAACAGAGAACGGAGCTCATGCACGCACACTTCGACTCACTGACTCATTCAGCCACGGCCCCATGCTCAGGCTGTGCAGTGCGGAACCTTTTCCTATTGTTGCCATAACAAATTTCCACAAGATTCGTGGGTGAAAACAAAACGGTTTTTTAATTATCTTACAGTGCTGTAGCTCAAAGTAGGAAGTGCATCTTACTGGGCTAAAATCAAGGTGACAGCAAGGCTGCCTTCCCTCTGAGGATTCCAGGCAAGAATCTGCTTCTCACTTATCCCAGCTTCTAAAGGCTCCCAGTTCCTTGGCTCCTGTTCCCCTTCCTCCTTCCTCAAAGCCCACAAAGACTGGTCACATCTCACATGGCATCACTCAGTGCCTTCTTCCTTACCACACCTCTTTCTCTGAATGCTGCTCTCCCTTCTTCCTTATCTTTTGAAAACTTGGGGATTCTATTGGGTTCACCAAGATGAAAATCCCTCATAATCTCCTGGAAATCATCCAGGATACCCTTGTTTTAAGTTCAGCTGATTAGCAACCGCAATTCCATCTACAATCTTCATTCCTCCTTTCCATGTAAAATAACATATTCACAAGCTATGGAGGCTAGGACAGGGACATTTTGGGGTGGGACAGCATTCTCCTGCCTTCCACAAACGGTGAACAAGATGCATTTGGCTTCTGCCCTTGGGACACTGATATTGCAGATGGTTAAATGGGAGGGCAGAAAATGAATGCACAAGTGGATCTATAAATGAATGATCCATTGGGAAGCATCTGTGCATGAAATCTATTTTTTGTTTGTTCTTTTGTTTATTGAGACAGAGTCGCCCTCTGTCTTCCAGGCTACAGTGCAGTGTCACGATCTTGGCTCACTGCAACCTGCGTCTCCTGGATTCAAGTGATTCTCCTGCCTCCGCCTCTCGAGTAGCTGGGATTACAGGCAACTGCCACCGTGCCCGGCTAATTCTTTTTGTATATTTTTTGTAGAGAGGATGTTTCACCACGTTGGCCAAGCTTGTCTGAAACTCCCAACCTCAAGTGATCCGACCGTCTCAGCATGCCAAAGTAATGGGACTACAGGCGTGAGCCACTGTGCCCAGCCAGAATTCAAAATCAATAATAGATAATGCTGAGTGTATGATTTCAGGTGACAAAGAAGGTCTCACTATTCAGATATTTGTGACATTAATGAAAAACACGGATTGAACCCCTGAAAGATTGGCGGAAGGATTTTGCACACACAGCTGTCAGCCGTGAAGGCACAAAGGTGAAAACAATCTGATGTGGAAGGAAGAGGCTCTGCCTCAAATGCTGGGAATGATGTGGGGAGAATGACAAGACGACTGTAGAGAGACGGAGAGCACACTGGGTACACAGGAAACTAAGGAGCAACAAGGAGTGTGTGTTTGACACTCACAGCCATTGGATTCACCTCGGGGTAACCAGGAATCCCTACATGATTAATATGACTGACATGAAAATAAGGGAGGCTCAGTTGCATAACTGGAATCTAGGAGACCGTGGAAAAGGCAATTGCCACCCCACTGGTGAAATGTGGTGCTGATTTAGACACTAAATGAATGAAGTAGATGGATATAAGATATGTTTGTGAGGTAGAATCATTGACTGGAAACGCTTACTGGGTTTGATTTTCCTACTTGTTTAATCCTCGCTTAATTAATTTCTTTCTGAGATTTATTCATCCTACACATAAATCAATACCTGGCAAAGGAGTGACAGATATATGAGTGGTGGTGGAAATGAAGAGACTTATTATAGCATAATATACAAGTCTGTGAACAGTGGCTCACGCCTGTAACCTAGCACTGCAGGAGGCCAAGGTGGGTGGATTCCATGAAGTCAGGAGTTCCAGACCAGCCTGGCCAACGTGGTGAAACCCTATCTCTACTAAAAATACAAAAATTAGCCGAGCACGATGGTGCATCCCTGTAATCCCAGCTCCTATTCTGGAGGATGAAGCAGGAGAATGACTTCAACCCAGTAGGTGGAGGTTGCAGTGAGTGGAGATTGCATCACTGCACTCCAGCCTGGGGGACACAAGGAGACTCTATCTCAAAAAATAAAAATAAGAAATACATAAATATAATAAAACACACACGAATGACAAAGGCACCTGAATTCCAATCATCGTTTTTCTATTTCTCTATAATTACTTCTTTGATCCTTTATCTTATCCATTAGGCAATGAGCTTAAAACCTCTTCCCTATTTGGCTTTCTGTGAGAATGAGATCACATAGAAAATGTGAAAGCCCTCAGAATCCTCCAGCACAGATCGTGGAATAGAGAAAGTGCTCTGTTCATCGCAACAAAAAACTTGCCCACTCACCCAAATCCCCCACCTCACCCCTACTTCCAATCACCTGTGGAGATTCAGATAGGCTATGGGGAGGTAAACATTGATACTCCTTGGAGTGAGTCCAGATCTTGGAATCAGAGATCAGTGCCAGCACTAGCTCCTGCTCCCCTTTCCTACTAATTCACAGGAGGACAGGTGGTATTGAAGCAATAGATGGCCGAGGGGGTGGTCCTTCCCCCAGCCTCTCGGGTAGAACAGCAGCCTAACATGTGTCTCCCGAGATCACAAAGAGTAGCACGTTTCACACGGGCTTCAACACTATTTCCTGGCCATTTGACATAAGAGAATTCTACTTAGCTTTTTTTATCTTGATTTCACTTTTGTTTCCTTTTCTTGGAGAATGCAAGTTGTTTGATTCAAGAATGCTGTGGATGTAGAAATCCTAAAGCACATTCGCTGTGTATCAATCCCAGTGCAGTCTTCCCAGAGAAGACTCTAAATACCTCCTGGACTGCACCTGGGCTTATGCCAATTCCTATCACTCACCGTCACTCCAGGGAGACAGAACACACAGAGAATACATTACACAGGCAGGTTCATTACTAACAGATAAGCAGCGAGTGACAACAGAAACCTACATTTCAATGTGAGCCAGTCCCTCAAGGCTCAGAAAAGCTACTCGGGACATATGGAGTCACCCCATTTGCAGTGTAGCTGGGGGAAGCCAGAGAGCAGCCCAGCCTGGGTTTTGTACTGTGGAGCCACAGGAAGCACTCAGCTAAAGCACTGCATGACGTCCTCCTCCAGGAAGAACAGGAAGACAGCCCAGGCTGTTCTGAGACGTTCCTCCTGATCTCAGGACGTTGCTGTCTTAGTCCATTTTTGTTGCTCTAAAGGAACACTTGAGCCTGGGTAACTTCTAGAGAAAAGAGATTGGTTTGCCTCACAGTTCTGCAGGCTGTACTGGAAGCGTGGCACCAGCATCTATTTCTCGTGACGGCCTCAGGCTGCTCCCACTCTGGCAGAAGGGAAGGAGGGTCTGTCTGTGCAGAGACCACAGAGATCACACGGCAAGAGAGGGAGCAAGGGGGAGGGGGAGCGATGGAGCTTCCAAGCTCTTTTGAACAACCAGCTCTCCAGGAACTAATAGAAGGGGAACTTGCTAACCCCGTCTCCTTGGGACAGCATTGGTCTGTTCATGATGGATCCACCTCCATGACCCAAACACCTCTCAAGAGGCCCAACCTCCCACAGTGGGGGTGAAATTTCAATGTGAGGTTTGAAGGGGTCAAACATCTCAACTAAAGTAGTTGTATCCTCAACACGTTCTATGGTTACTATGAGAGCTATAACTGAGAAAGCAGGAGAAAGCTGGGTCTCCCTCCATCTGGGTGCTTGTCCTAAAGGGGTGTTGTATGTGGTTACCTGTCAATCAAGAAATGTGAGACAATTCATAAAGAGGAACTGCTATGATTAGCTTCTTATTGGTGTCTCCTCTTCTTCCAGGTAACCCCAGACACCTGCATGTTCTGATTGGGACCTCAGTGGTCATCATCCTCTTCATCCTCCTCCTCTTCTTTCTCCTTCATCGCTGGTGCTGCAACAAAAAAAGTAAGTCTCACGAAGCAGAGGCCAGAGAGCTCAGGGCCATGTGGGGAAGCAGGATGGGAGCACTCAGGTGTGTGTTCCTCACAGACAGGATGGTCCCTGGCCCAAGGCAGCAGCCACAGAGGGAGGACTTTCTAGAGAGAGCACCAGACTCCCTGTCCCTGCCTTCAGCTCACAGACCATTGCCTGATTCTGAACTGTATCCTCATGTCCCCTGCAGCCACTCACATCCAGGAGAAGGTTCCATGACAGGCAGAAAGTGGGAGACAGAATCAATGGGATGGGAACTCAGAGCTATTCATGGGATGGGTCCTTGAGCTCAGAGAGATAGAATGTCTGAGTCTGCTGTTGGCAACTGAGGGACCTCAGGCTCCTATGGTCTCCCCCTGTATGTTGGTATCTGCTTATGAAATGAGGGCCCAGAAGTGCCCTCTGAGCTGTTTTGTTGACTTCCGTCTTCTACAGATGCTGTTGTAATGGACCAAGAGCCTGCAGGGAACAGAACAGTGAACAGGGAGGTAGGTGCTCCTCGGCCCAGCCTCGTGGCTAGTGTTATTCCCAAAGAGTCCTGGAAAATGTGAGCACCCTCCCTCACTCAGCATTTCCCTCTCTCCAGGACTCTGATGAACAAGACCCTCAGGAGGTGACATATGCACAGTTGAATCACTGCGTTTTCACACAGAGAAAAATCACTCGCCCTTCTCAGAGGCCCAAGACACCCCCAACAGATATCATCGTGTACACGGAACTTCCAAATGCTGAGCCCTGATCCAAAGTTGTCTCCTGCCCATGAGCACCACAGTCAGGCCTTGAGGGGATCTTCTAGGGAGACAACAGCCCTGTCTCAAAACTGGGTTGCCAGCTCCAATGTACCAGCAGCTGGAATCTGAAGGCGTGAGTCTGCATCTTAGGGCATCGCTCTTCCTCACACCACAAATCTGAACGTGCCTCTCCCTTGCTTACAAATGTCTAAGGTCCCCACTGCCTGCTGGAGAGAAAACACACTCCTTTGCTTAGCCCACAATTCTCCATTTCACTTGACCCCTGCCCACCTCTCCAACCTAACTGGCTTACTTCCTAGTCTACTTGAGGCTGCAATCACACTGAGGAACTCACAATTCCAAACATACAAGAGGCTCCCTCTTAACACGGCACTTAGACACGTGCTGTTCCACCTTCCCTCATGCTGTTCCACCTCCCCTCAGACTAGCTTTCAGCCTTCTGTCAGCAGTAAAACTTATATATTTTTTAAAATAATTTCAATGTAGTTTTCCCTCCTTCAAATAAACATGTCTGCCCTCATGGTTTAGGTAATGGGACTCTTTTCTTGCCTAAGGCTTCCGGTGTTATCAGTACCATGTCCATATAATCCCATCTGTTCTCCACCGGGTTCTCACCTCTGGACTCTGAGCTTCTGGAAGCAGTGTGGAGCCTCATTTGTCTCTGGGACTCCAATTTCCATCCAAAGATGCAGCACATAGGAGGTTCCAAGGATCGGGAATCACATGAACAAGTGACATTGTTACTCTCTGCAGACCTGGAAAGCTGGCAGAGTCATTCCACGATGAAACATTTGTAGAGTCATAGGCCTTGTTAGTCTCATCTCCATGGGGACACATATCAACACATCATCTTTCATACTATAAATATACGGTCACTCCTCCGTATCTGTGGGGTTTACAGGTCTTTATTGAACAAAGTATAAATCAAAAATATTCAGAGAAAATATCCACAGAGTTCCAAAACTCATAACTATGTTGAATGGACACAAATGAAGCTGTGTGTAGGCTGTATCAGGAATTATAAGTAATCAAGAGATGATTTCATGTATACAGGAGGATGTGCATATGTTATTTGCAAGCGCTGTGCCATTTCATATAAGAGGCTTGAGCATCTACAGATTTTGGTATCTGAGTGGAGATCTCGAAACCAATCACCCACGAATAGTGAAGGATGACCGTATATGACTTTTATTTCTCAAATTTAAATATAAATCAAAAAATGTACAACTAGATAAAAACTAAGAAGTGTTTTTATAGTGTGAGTTAGATTTATTTTTTACTAGGTGTAACCCATTGGTTTAATATTATTTATTGAGAAGACATTCTATGCCACCTTAAACCACACGGCAGCCTTTGTCAACTCTAAAGGGACTGTGTGTACATGGATGTATTTTAGACAGTTTCTGCTAAGGGGCTGTCTGTGTCCACACACTTGATGATGCTACACTTTATGTAGCCTTATAGAACCCTTTAAATTTAGTAGCCAGAGCCCTCTAATTTGTTATTATAGGCTATTTGCTTTTTTTTTTCTTGAGGCGGAGTCTTGCTCTGTCGCCCAGGCTGGACTGCAGTGACACAATCTCAGCTCACTGCAACCTCCGCCTCCCAGGTTCAAGCGATTCTCGTGCCTCAGCCTCTTGAGTAGCTGGCGTTACAGGTGCCTGCCACCAGGCATGGCTAATTTTTGGATTTTTAGCAGAGACACGGTTTCACTATGTTGGCCAGGCTGCTCTCAATCCCCTCATCTCAGTTGATCCGCCCACCTCGGCTTCCCGACGTGCTGGGGAAACTTGATTTTCTATAGCATTATGTTACTGGATATTTCTGTAAAATTTAAAATGAGGGAGGCAGAGAGACAGAGAGAGATCAAACTCCAGAGTTGGGACTCTGGAATCTTGGGTCATGAGACAAATTTTAGATTAAACTACAAAACTCCAGAATTTACAGGTGTGGTTTTTGCTGATAAAGTACAATTCTAAGATTGTAAATAATTGCATAATCCTTCCCTGGGAATTTAAATCATTTTAACTGGTTCTGCTGTAATACTAGAAATACAAGCATGAAAAATTCTAATGGTTTATTAGTCACAATGACTCTGAAAACCTTAATAATACCTATTAAATATTTTGCATATTACACATGAAGAAGAGTTTGAATCTCAGATAAAAACAATAAAAATACATGAAAAGTCTTTCACGTTAGCACAGATTTTAGGCATCTCGTGTTCAGGAGGTTGGATCTGAGACGTGTTTTGAGTTGGTCATAGTGAAGGACGCTAGGTGTAAATTCTAGTGAGAACAATTTCCAGGAAGCCGTGTTCCGCTCTTGAGCGAGCACCCACTGGGCCTCATGCAAGGTAGAATGAGCCTGCGTACGTCACCCTCCCATGATGTGGTCAACATGTAAACTGCATGGGCAGGGCGCCAAATAACATCCTGTGCGCTGCTGAGCTGAGCTGGGGCACGGCCGCCTGTCTGCACCGGCAGCACCATGTCGCTCACGGTCGTCAGCATGGCGTGTGTTGGTGAGTCCTGGAAGGGAATAGAGGAAGGGAGTGTGGGGTTGGAGATCTGGGCCCAGAGGTGGAGATATAGGCCTGGAGGTGGAGTTGTGGGCCTGGAGTGGAGATCTGGGCCTGGAGTGGATATATGGGCCTAGAGATGGAGTGATGGGCCTAGAAGTGGAGATCTGGGCCTGGAGTGCCGATAGGAACCTGGAGGGGAGATAGGAGCCTGGAGTGGAGATATGGGCCTGGAGGTGGAGTTATAGGCCTATAGTAGAGATATGGGCCTGGAGTGGAGATTTGGGCCAGGAGTGGAGATATGGGCCTAGAGGTGGATATCTGGGCCTAGAGTGGAAATATGGGCCTAGGATGGAGATATGGGCCTGGTTGTGGAGATATGGGACTGGAGAGGAGATATGGGCCTAGAGTGGAGATATGGGCTTGGGGTGGAGATCTGGGCCTGGGGTGGAGATATGGGCCTGGAGGTGGAGTTACGGGCCTTCAGTAGAGATATGGGCCTGGGGTGGAGATATGGGCTTGGGGTGGAGATCTGGGCCTGGAGTGGAGATATGGGCCTGGAGGTGGAGTTACTGGCCTTCAGTAGAGATATGGGCCTGGTGTGGAGATATGGGCCTGGATTGGAGATATGGGCCTAGGTTGGAGATCTGAGCCTGGAGTGGAGATATGGGCCTGGATTGGAGATATGGGCTTACAGTGGAGATCTTGGCCTGGATTGGCGATATGGGCCTGGATTGGCGATATGGGCCTATGATGGAAATATCGGCCTGGAGTGGAGATATGGGCCTGGAGTGGAGATACAGGCCTAGGGTGGAAATATTGGCCTGGAGTGGAGATATGGGCTTGTGGTGGGGATATGGGCTTGTGGTGGGGATCTGGGCTTGGAGGCTGGGTCTCTGCACAGCCGACAGCCCTGTTCTTGGGTGCAGGTAGGCACTGAGGGTGAGTTTAACTTCAGTCCAGGAAGGGCCTGCCTACCAAGACTCACAGCCCAGTGAGGGCAGCAAGGGAGGGCTGGTTTGCCTGCAGATGGATCGTCCATCATGATCTTTCTTTCCAGGGTTCTTCTTGCTGCAGGGGGCCTGGCCACATGAGGGTGAGTCCTTCTCCAAACCTTAGGGTGTCATCTCCCCACATAAGAGGATTTTCCTGAAACAGGAGGGAAGTCCTGTCAGGGAGCCTCTCATAAACTAGGAAGAGGGGACCCTGGGGTGCTCGGCCCACAGTTCCGACCTCGCCTCCCTGGCCTTTCATTCCCTTGGCAGAGTCAAGTTCTGTGGGGACCAGGGTTAGACTGGGGTGCTCAAAGCTGGGGTGCGTGGTGGGGAAGTGGTAGGAACAGCAGATCCTCTGAGGACAAAGGTGTTACTCACACTTCAGCGTTTCCATGACGGTAGGGGCTGCAGTGTGGCTGCTGTCACTCCACCAGAAGAGGTGGGAAACCACAGCCATGGCCCTGACATTCCAAATCCTCTGATGGGGGCTCAGTTGCTTATTTTCATTCAGGCATCTGCTGATATTCCATTCTCAAAGACATGCCCTCCACCCCATGTCTACCCTGTGTTGTTTTATGTGAGTAATCTTACAGTATTAAAATCTAGTAGGAGTCTCTTACTCAGCACTTGCTCAAAGTTCTCAGCTGACACTTTTGTTGTAGGGAGACACCTTGTGTTTGCGGGATGGGTCCTTCCTTTAGCCCTGGGCACCAAGGTGTGATAGCAGCCATAGAAACTTGGAAAGCGAGGAGAATCTTCAGAGCACAGGGAGGGAGGGGTGGCTCCACATCCTCCTCTCTAAGGCGGTGCCTCCTTCTCCCCAAGGTGGTCAGGACAAGCCCTTGCTGTCTGCCTGGCCCAGCTCTGTGGTGCCTCCAGGACATGTGATTCTTCGGTGTCATTCTTATCTTGGGTTTAACAACTTCAGTCTGTAAAAGGAAGATGGGGTGCCTGGCACTGAGCTCTACAACAGAATATTCTGGAAGAGCCTTTTCATGGGCCCTGTGACCCCAGCACACACAGGGACGTACAGATGTCGGGGTTCACACCCACACTACCCCAGTGGGTGGTCGGCACCCAGCAACACCCTGGTGATCATGGCCACAGGTCAGAGGGCTCCTGTCTTGGATTCTCCTTTCCCACCTCCTGAATCCCAGAGCTTCTGGTGGGCGTGTCCTTGAGGGTCCCATCACCCAGGCCCTGACTATATTTGGGGTAAAGGGGGATTGAATACAGGGAAATGGGTGCTGTGGTGGGAAGAATAATTGTCCCCAGTGATGACTACATTCTAATCCCTGGAGTCTGTGACTATTTATGTTATAGGGGAAGGAACTGAAGGGGAAGATGGAGCTCAGGTTGTTGATGAGTTGACCTTGAGATGGGGAGACAGCCTGGACTGTCCCGCTGGGCTCAGTGTAATCACAAGGGTCCACATGAAAGGAGGAGGAAGAGGGGAGTGGGGATTAGAGCAGCGCAATGGGAGACTCCACCAGCTTTGAAGGTGGAGGAAGGCCAGGAGCCATGAATGCAGGTGGCCTGTAGAGGTTGGAAAAGTCAAGGAAATGATTCTCCAGAGTCTCCAGAGGGAACGAAGCCCTGCAGATGCCTTGATTTTAGCCCAGGAAAAACAGGGTCCTATTTCTGTCTCCAGTAGTGAAATGGGTCAGTGTGCTCTCTCCTGCTGCCATGCTTCTGATAATTTTCTACAGCAGCAACAGGAAACCAACACTGGAACCCAGGTCAAGGACAAGGTAAGAAACAACACAAGGATAGCCGGGTGTGGTGGCAGGCGCATGTAATCCTAGCGACTTGGGAGGCTGAGGGCAGGAGAATCACTTGAACCCAGGAGACAGAGGTTGCAGTGACCCTAGACCACACCACTTCACTCCAGCTGGGGTGAAGGAGTGAGACTCTGTCTCCATAATTAATTAATTAATTAAAGGAACCAAACAAGGGGAAGGTTGGCTACACCGAGATGAGCAAGTGTGGGATGATGATGCCACCACCAGGCTCCATCCACATAGGGAGGGGTTGATACTCCTCAAACCAGCACCAGGAGCCAGCCTATGGAAGCTGGCACCATGGAGAAGGCACAGGCATGGCAAGAGTGGCTCCCAGTCCCGACCAGGAACAGGGTGTGTGGACACTGGTGCCTGCCTTATTCATCAGTTCATACCTACTGCCAAGGATTCCAATTCATCCAAAAGAGATTGAACCAGGCTGATAAGAGGCTGGATGTGCAGCCTATCCTGGTTCCTCTTTCACCCCCACATAAACAGCAGGAAAGACATTAGTGTGAAATAGATACAACACCCCAAGAGATGAGGCTAAGCCCAGTGGGAAGGGAATCAGAGGCGACTAGAGACAGAGGGACAGAGAAGAGGGAGGGAGACAGATGGAAGGACCTGCACCAGGAGTTAT
This sequence comes from Homo sapiens, assembly GCF_000001405.40. Classification (NCBI taxonomy): domain Eukaryota; kingdom Metazoa; phylum Chordata; class Mammalia; order Primates; family Hominidae; genus Homo; species Homo sapiens. Next base: position 60,037 of record NW_016107307.1, read on the forward strand.
GGGCACAGAAAAGAACATGAAGACACAGAGAGGAAGGAGAGAGACAGACACCAGCAAGGGGAAGCCTCACTCATTCTAGGTGCCATGGATGGGATGATAAAGAGAGACACCTTCTAAACTCACAACCTCTCTTCCTAGGAGTCCACAGAAAACCTTCCCTCCTGGCCCACCCAGGTCCCCTGGTGAAATCAGAAGAGACAGTCATCCTGCAATGTTGGTCAGATGTCAGGTTTCAGCACTTCCTTCTGCACAGAGAAGGGAAGTTTAACGACACTTTGCACCTCACTGGAGAGCACCATGATGGGGTTTCCAAGGCCAACTTCTCCATCGGTCCCATGATGGAAGACCTGGCAGGGACCTACAGATGCTACGGTTCTGTTACTCACTCCCCCATCAGTTGTCAGCTCCCAGTGACCCTCTGGACATCGTCATCACAGGTGAGAGTGTCCGGACATTCTTCTCATTGTCATTGGGATGCAGAGTGAATGATCCACGACTTGGAACCCCCAGGTAGTTGTAAGGAAGATGAGCTTGGTATTCTTATGGAGAGAGACTGACTTGGTGAGGTCTGTACCAACAGAGACAGAGAAACAGGAGACACAAGTACAGACCAGGTGTCATAACAGAGGACAGACACAGGGGCCATACCGGGAGTTAGAAAAGACAGAAGGAGTTAAAGGAGACAGACAGACAGACATGTCCCAGAGAGAGGTGTCCCTCCATGCTGACTTTGCTCAGAGACCTGGCACAGGTTAGAAGTTTCATTTCTGTTTTACCTCCACAAAGTGTTCTCTACCAGGAGAACCCAAGGACACCCATATTTATGACCTGAGTTGGGCCCTGTGGCCTCAGGCCTTGTGGCACCTACAGATGCCGTGTTTATTCTGACACCTCTGCCTTCCATGTAATGGAGAGTAACCGTCCCAGGATATCATGGCCCCAGAACACCAACTCCTGTATGCTGTGTGAACTTGTGGTCTCCAGACTGGATTCTGAGGCTCACATTCCAAATAACCCCACATATGAAAGGATCACTGAGAGGCACAGAGAGAAATCAGGGACACCAAAAAGCAAAGACATAAACACACAGAGAATGAGCCAGAGGAAGGAGATTGAGAGACTCACAGACACATAAAGAGAGAGAAAAGAGGGCAGAGGAGTGGTGAGAATGATGGAAGGGAGCAGAGAAAAGCACTAAAATTAGACTCCTGAGGGAGAGGCACAAGGACATAGAAAGATGGAGATGTGGGGATGAATTGCAGAGATTCCAAAGAGAACTAGAGAGACCGAGAGGCAGAGCAAGACAGATGATAGATGGATAGATATAGATAGATGATAAATAGGTAGATGATAGATAATAGGTTAAAGATACATAGATGATGATTGATTGATTCATTAATAGATGAGACATAGAGATGATGATGATGAAGACAGATAGATAATACATAGAGATAGAGAGGCAGACAGAAGTCATAGAGAGAGAGATGATACATAGATATAGATAACAGATGATTGATGGATAGATAGACAAGTGATAGATACATAGATGATATATAGATATAGATGACAGGTAGAGAATTTGTAGATAGGCACCGAATAGATAAATAGATAGATCGATAGATAATAGATAGAAATATGCAGAAAGTTATGAACAGGACACAAAGTGAGAAACTTAGAATTTAAAAAAGTAACATCAAGTCAACCAATCCAAGGAGAGTCAGAGAGAATAAAACAATCCAAAAAGGGAAAACATATCTAGAGGTGTGGAAGCGAGGTCAGAGACCTAGAGAGACAGAGAAGGTGGAAGGAGGAAATAGACATGAAGAGAGATGGGGTGGAGGGTGAGAGAGAGAGAGAGAGAGAGCATTAGGTCATAGAGCAGGGGAGTGAGTTCTCAGCTCAGGTGAAGGGAGCTGTGACAAGGAAGATCCTCCGTAAGGAAAATGCCTCTTCTCCTTCCAGGTCTATATGAGAAACCTTCTCTCTCAGCCCAGCCGGGCCCCACGGTTCTGGCAGGAGAGAGCGTGACCTTGTCCTGCAGCTCCCGGAGCTCCTATGACATGTACCATCTATCCAGGGAGGGGGAGGCCCATGAACGTAGGTTCTCTGCAGGGCCCAAGGTCAACGGAACATTCCAGGCTGACTTTCCTCTGGGCCCTGCCACCCACGGAGGAACCTACAGATGCTTCGGCTCTTTCCGTGACTCTCCCTACGAGTGGTCAAACTCGAGTGACCCACTGCTTGTTTCTGTCACAGGTGAGGAAAGCCCATGGCTGTCCCATGTCCTATGATCCTAGAGCCTTAGCTGAGGAGCTTCCTGCTGAGGATGGAGAGAAGGATGAACAGATGCAGAGAGAAGACGAAGCTTGGGTGTGAGGGAGGGATCAGGGCACAGGATGGCAGACAGGGCACCTCCAAACCCTCCTACATGGCCTGCATGAAGGCCTGCGGCCAGGACTCCAGGCACCCAGGCAGATAGAGAAAGCGGTCAGGAGAGACCCAGAGGAGGGAGACTGGGCTCAGTTTGGGAAGATCAGAGGTTCCCTCAGCCCCTCAACATTACCCATTTCCCAGAAGCCCATCCTGGCCTCCCACCCACACAGGGATGTCATCACCTGCAACCCCTACACCCTTTACTTTTGTTTGAGAAATATTTATTGAGGATAAATATACCTATATAGCTTACCACCTTTAACATTTTTTTTTTGAGGCGGAGTCTAGCTCTGTCCCCTATGCTGGAGTGCATTGGCACAATCTCAGCTCACTGCAACTTCCGCCTCCTGGGTTCAAGCGATTCTCTTGCCTCAGCCACCTGAGTAGCTGGTGCTACAGGCGCGCACCACCATGCCAGGCTACTTTTTGTATTTTTAGTAGAGAGGGGGTTTCACCATGTTGGTCAAGCTGGTCTCGAACTCCTGACCACGTGATCCACCCGCATCAGCCTCCCAAAGTGCTGGGATTACAGGCATGAGCCACCACGCCCAGCCACATTTACCATTTTTAAGTGTAAAGTCTAGTGGTCATAAATACATTAATATATATATATATACACATATTTTTTTTTACCCTCCACCCTTTTCTTCCTGGCCTCTGGTAGCCACCATTCTACTCTCTACCTTCATGAGATCCACCTTTTAGCTCCTGTATATGGGTAAGAAATGGGAATCTTTGTAATGACCTCCAGTTCCATCCATGTGGCTGCAAATATCAGGATGTTTTTCTTTCTATGGAAGAGTAGTCTCCACTATGCAAATGTACCACATTCTCTCTATCCATTCACCCACTGATGGGCAGGTAGGTTGACTCCTCATCTTGGCTACTGTGAAGAGTGCTGCACCAATCATACGAGTGCAGATATCACTTCGATATATTGATTTACTTTCCTTTGGATATAAACCCAGTAGTGAAATTGCTGGATACTATGAAAGTTCTCTTTTTAGTTTTTCGTTTGTTGTTTTGTTTTTGTTTTTGAGACAGTTTCCCTCTGTGCCCAGGCTGGAGTACAAGTGATGTCATCTTGGCTCATTGCAACCTCTGCCTCCTGGGTTCAAATGATTTTCCTGCCTCAGCCTCCCTAGTATCAGGGATTATAGGCGCACGCCACCATGCCTGGCTACTTTTTGTTTTTTTTAGTATAGATGCGGTTTCCCCATGTTGGCTGGGCTGCTCTCAAACTCATGACCTCAACTGAGGTGCCCGCCTCGGTCTCCCAAAGTGCCGGGATTACAGGCATGATCCACCTCACCCAACCTCTTTTTAGTTCTTTAAAGGACTTCCACACTTTTCTCCGTAATGGCTGTACTAATTTACACTCCTACCAACAGGATACCAGGATTCTCCTTTCTCTAACACCTTGCCAGCATTTCTTTTGCCTGTCTTGCAGCTAAAAGCCATTTTATTTTATTTCATTTTATTTTGAGATGGAGTTTCGCTCTTGTCACCCAGGCTGAGTGCAGTGGTGCGATCTCGGCTCACCACAACCTCCACCTCCCAGGTTCAAGCGATTCTCCTGCCTCAGCCTCCCGAGTAGCTGGAATTACAGGCACACGCCACCACGCCCGACTAATTTTTGTATTTTTAGTAGAGACAGTGTTTCTCCATGTGGGTCAGACTGGTCTCAAACTCCCGACCTTATGAGATTCACCCACCTCAGGCTCTCAAAGTTCTAGGATGACAGACGTGAGCCACCACGCCCGGCCTAAAAGCCATTTTAATGGGGTGAGATGAAAACTCACTTTGATTTTAATTTGTGTTTCTCTGATGATGAGTGATACTGAGCACTTTTTCGTATGTGGGGAAATTTCATGTCTTTTGCTCCTGTTTCAATTAAATCATTTGTTTTATTGAGTTGTTTGAGCTTCTTATATTTCTAGTTATTAATCCCATCTCAGATGCATAGTTTGCACATATTTGCTCCCAATCTGTGGGTTGTCTCTTCACTTTGTTGGTTTATTTTTAGCGGTGCAGAAGTTGCTTAGTTTGAGGTAATCCCAATGGTCTATTTTTGCTTCGATTACTTGTGTTTTGAAGGTTTAAAACAAAATGTCTTCCTTCAGACAAACGTCCTGGAGCATTTCCCCAATATTTTCTTCTACGTGTTTCATAGGTTCAGGCCTTAGACTCACATCTTTAATCCATTTTCATTTGATTTTTGTGTATAGTGACAGGCAGAGGTGCAGTTTCATTCCTCTGCATGTCGATGTCCAGGTTTCCCTGCACTGTTTATTGAAAAGACTGTCCTTTCCTGATTGTGAGTTCTTGGCACCTTTGTCAAAGTCCATTGGATGGGCTGGGCATGGTGGCTGACACCTGCAATTTCAGCACTTTGGGAGCCCGAGGTGGGTGGATCACCTGAGGCCAAGAGTTCAAGATTAGTCTGGCCAACGTGATGAAACATCGTCTCCACTAAAAATATAAAAATTAGCTGAGCATGGTGGTCAGCACCTGTAATACCACTACTCAGGAGTTTGAGGCAAGAGAAGTGATTGAACCCAGGAGGCTGTGGTGGCAGTGAACCGAGATTGCACCTCTGCACTCCAGCCTGGGTGACAGAGCAAGACTCCATCTCAAAAGAAAAACAAAAAATACATTGGAGGTAAATGCATGGATTATATCTGTGTTATTCATTCTGCTCCGTTGTTCTATGTGCCTTTCTTCATGCCAACGTCATGCTGTCTTGCTTACTACAGCTCTGTAACATATTTTGAGATCAGGTAGTGTGATGCTCCTGTTTTCTCTTTATACCTTGAAGTCTCAAGACAGTAGCCGTCACATACAAAAATTACGGAAAAAAGGATCCCAGGACTCCCAGGGCCCAATATTAGATAACAGAGTGTTGGCCATGAACCAACCTCAAAGATTTCCACTGAGTAGAGGACAGACACCCTCATTTCCTCACCTCTCTCCTGTCTCATGTTCTAGGAAACCCTTCAAATAGTTGGCCTTCACCCACTGAACCAAGCTCCAAAACCGGTGAGTACAGAACCCTCTTATATCCGCTTTTGGAAACCTGGGGAGGTGGAAACCTTGGATTCAGGCGTTGACTCAGCATCTCACAGCTCTGACATTGTACGCCTGTCTTCTACCATCTCCAAACTCCAGATACTCCAACAGCGAAAGGGATCTGGACCCAAAACAGGGCTCTGTGAAATCTCTTAATCTCTCATTTTATGGAGCTGAGATCTCCTACAAGCTAGAAAAATGATTGGCAATCTGACATCCTTCTCAGGAAAAATGCAATGTTTGTTCTGCCTGCATTCCTAACTGGAGGATAAATTCCTGGGGGCTTGAGAGAGGGAAGGGTAGGGAACATTTGATGAGGGCGAGGTGTTTTAGAGAAGTTCCACTTGCCCAGGAATGAATTACTGTTGGTCATGAAGCAACCCTGGCTGACTCAGCAGAGCAAGAGCTTTGCCTTAACAGAGAACGGAGCTCATGCACGCACACTTCGACTCACTGACTCATTCAGCCACGGCCCCATGCTCAGGCCGTGGAAAAGGCAATTCCCAGCACTGCAGGAGGCCAAGGCGGGTGGATCACTTGAAGTCAGGAGTTCCAGACCAGCCTGGCCAAAATGGTGAAACCCTGTCTCTATGAAAAATACAAAAATTAGCCGAGCATGGTGGTGCATCCCTGTAATCCCAGCTCCTACTCTTGAGGATGAAGCAGGAGAACGACTTCAACCCAGGAGGTGGAGGTTGCAGTGAGTGGAGATTGCATCACTGCACTCCAGCCTGGGTGACACAAGGAGACTCCGTCTCAAAAAATAAAAATAAGAAATGCATAAATATAATAAAACACACACGAATGACAAAGGCACCTGAATTCCAATCATCATTTTTGTATTTCTCTATAATTACTTCTTTGATCCTTTGTCTTATCCATTAGGCAATGAGCCTAAAACCTCTTCCGTATTTGGCTTTCTGTGAGCATGAGACCATATAGAAAATGTGAAAGCCCGCTGAATCCTCCAGCACAGATCGTGGAATAGAGAAAGTGCTCTGTTCATCACAAAAAAAACTTGCCCTCTCACTCAAATCCCCCACTTCACCCCTACTTCCAATCACCTGTGGAGATTCAGATAGACCATGGGGAGGTAAACATTAATACTCCTTGGAGTGAGTCCAGATCTTGGAATGAGAGATCAGCACCAGCACTAGCTCCTGCTCCCCTTTCCTACTAATTCACAGGAGGACAGGTGGTATTGAAGCAATAGATGGTGGAGGGGGTGGTCCTTCCCCCAGCCTCTCAGGTAGAACAGCAGCCTAACATGTGTCTCCCGAGATCACAAAGAGTAGGACGTTTCACAGGGGCTTCAACACGATTTCCTGGCTGTTGGACATAAGATAACTCTATTTCGCTTTTTTATCTTGATTTCACTTTTGTTTCCTTTCCTTGGAGAACGCAAGTTGTTTGACTCAAGAATGCTGTGGATGTAGAAATCCTAAAGCACATTCGCTGTGTGTCAATCCCAGTGCAGTCTTCCCAGAAAAGACCCTAAACACCTCCTAGACTGCACCTGGGCCTACGCCAATTCCTATCACTCACCGTCACTCCAGGGAGACAGAACACACAGAGAATACGTTACATAGGCAGGTTCATTACTAACAGATAAGCAGCGAGTGAAAACAGAAGCCTACATTTCAATGTGAGCCAGTCCCTCAAGGCTCAGAAAAGCTGCTCGGGACATATGGAGTCACCCCATTTGCAGTGTAGCTGGGGGAAGCCAGAAAGCAGCCCAGCCTGGGTTTTGTACCCTGGAGCCACAGGAAGCACTCAGCTAAAGCACTGCATGACGTCCTCCTCCAGGAAGAACAGGAAGACAGCCCAGGCTGCTCTGGGACGTTCCTCCTGATCTCAGGACGTTGCTGTCTTAGTCCATTTTTGTTGCTCTAAAGGAACACTTGAGCCTGGGCAACTTCTAAAGAAAAGAGATTGGTTTGCCTCACCGTTCTGCAGGCTGTACTGGAAGCATGGCACCAGCATCTATTTCTCGTGATGGCCTCAGGCTGCTCCCACTCTGGCAGAAGGGAAGGAGGGTCTGTCTGTGCAGAGACCACAGAGATCACACGGCAAGAGAGGGAGCAAGGGGGAGGGGGAGCGATGGAGCTTCCAAGTTCTTTTGAACAACCAGCTCTCCAGGAACTAATAGAGGGGGAACTAGCTAACCCCGTCTCCTTGGGACAGCATTGATCTGTTCATGATGGATCCACCTCCATGACCCAAACACCTCTCAAGAGGCCCAACCTCCCACAATGGGGGTGAAATTTCAATGTGAGGTTTGAAGGGGTCAAACATCTCAACTAAAGTAGTTGTGTCCTCAGCACATTCTATGGTTACTTTGAGAGCTATAACTGAGAAAGCAGGAGAAAGCTGGGTCTCCCGCCATCTGGGTGCTTGTCCTAAAGAGGTGTTTTACGTGGTTACCTGTCAATCAAGAAATGCGAGACAATTCATAAAGAGGAACTGCTATGATTAGCTTCTTATTGGTGTCTCATCTTCTTCCAGGTAACCCAAGACACCTGCACGTTCTGATTGGGACCTCAGTGGTCATCATCCTCTTCATCCTCCTCCTCTTCTTTCTCCTTCATCGCTGGTGCTCCAACAAGAAAAGTAAGTCTCACGAAGGAGAGGCCAGAGAGCTCAGGGCCATGTGGGGAAGCAGGATGGGAGCACTCAGGTGTGTGTTCCTCACAGGTAGGATGGTCCCTGGCCCAAGGCAGCAGCCACAGAGGCAGGACTTTCTAGAGAGGGCACCAGACTCCCTGTCCCTGCTTTCAGCTCACAGACCGTTGCCTGATTCTGAACTGTATCCTCATGTCCCCTGCAGCCACTCACATCCAGGAGAAGGTTCCATGACAGGCAGAAAGTGGGAGACAGAATCAATGGGATGGGAACTCAGAGCTATTCATGGGATGGGTCCTTGAGCTCAGAGAGATAGAATGTCTGAGTCTGCTGTTGGCAACTGAGGGACCTCAGGCACCTATGGCCTCCCCCTGTTTGTTGGTATCTGCTTATGAAATGAGGACCCAGAAGTGCCCTCCGAGCTCTTTTGTTGACTTCCGTCTCCTACACATGCTGCTGTAATGGACCAAGAGCCTGCAGGGAACAGAACAGCGAATAGCAAGGTAGGTGCTCCTCGGCCCAGCCTCGTGGCTAGTGTTATTCCCAAACAGTCCTGGAAAACGTGAGCACCCTCCCTCACTCAGGATTTCCCTCTCTCCAGGACTCTGATGAACAAGACCCTCAGGAGGTGACATACGTACAGTTGGATCACTGCGTTTTCACACAGAGAAAAATCACTCGCCCTTCTCAGAGGCCCAAGACACCCCCAACAGATACCAGAGTGTACACGGAACTTCCAAATGCTGAGTCCAGATCCAAAGTTGTCTCCTGCCCATGAGCACCACAGTCAGGCCTTGAGGGGATCTTCTAGGGAGACAACAGCCCTGTCTCAAAACCGGGTTGCCAGCTCCCATGTACCAGCAGCTGGAATCTGAAGGCGTGAGTCTGCATCTTAGGGCATCGCTCTTCCTCACACCACAAATCTGAATGTGCCTCTCTCTTGCTTACAAATGTCTAAGGTCCCCACTGCCTGCTGGAGAGAAAACACACTCCTTTGCTTAGCCCACAATTCTCCATTTCACTTGACCCCTGCCCACCTCTCCAACCTTACTGGCTTACTTCCTAGTCTACTTGAGGCTGCAATCACACTGAGGAACTCACAGTTCCAAACATACAAGAGGCTCCCTCTTAACACGGCACTTAGACACGTCCTGTTCCACCTTCCCTCATGCTGTTCCACCTCCCCTCAGAGTATCTTTCAGCCTTCTGTCAGCAGTAAAACTTATATATTTTTTAAAATAATTTCAATGTAGTTTTCCCTCCTTCAAATAAACATGTCTGCCCTCATGGTTTCGGTAATGGGACTCTTTTCTTGCCTAAGACTTCCATTATCATTACCATGTCCACATAACCCCATCTGTTCTCCACTGGGTTCTCACCCCCGGACTCTGAGTTTCTGGAAGCAGGGTGGAGCCTCATTTGTCTCTGGGACTCCTATTTCCATCCAAAGATGTAGCACATAGGAGGTTCCAAGGATCGTGAATCACATGAACAAGTGATATTCTTACTCTCTGCAGACCTGGAAATCTGGCAGAGTCATTCCAAGATGAAACATTTGTAGAATCATAGGCCTTGTTAGTCTCATCTACACAGGGACACATATCAACACATCATCTTTCACACTATAAATATACAGTCACTCCTCCATATCTGTGGGGTTTACAGTTCTTTATTGAACCGAGTATAAATCAAAAATATTCAGAGAAAGTATCCACAGAGTTACAAAAAGCAGAACTGTGTTGAATGGACACAAATGAAGCTGTGTGTAGGCTGCATCAGGAATTATAAGTAATCTAGAGATGATTTCATGTATACAGGAGGATGTGCATAGGTTATTTGCAAACTCTGTGCCATTTCATATAAGAGGCTTGAGCATCTACAGATTTTGGTATCTGAGTGGAGATCTCGAAACCAATCACCCACGAATAGTGAAGGATGACCGTATATGACTTTTATTTCTCAAATTTAAATATAAATCATAAAAAATGTACAACTAGATAAAAACTAAGAAGTGTTTTTATAGTGTGAGTTAGATTTATTTTTTCCTAGGTATAACCCATTGGTTTAATATTATTTATTGAGAAGACATTCTATGCCACCTTAAACCACACGGCAGCCTTTGTCAACTCTAAAGGGACTGTGTGTACACGGATGTACTTTAGACACTGTTTCTGCTAAGGGGCTCTCTGTGTCCACACTCTTGATGATGCTGCACTTTATGTAGCCTTATAGAACCCTTTAAATTTAGTAGCCAGAGCTCTCTAATTTGTTATTATAGGCTATTTGCTTTTTTTTCTTGAGGCGGAGTCTTGCTCTGTCGCCCAGGCTGGACTGCAGTGACACAATCTCAGCTCACTGCAACTTCTGCCTCCCAGGTTCAAGCGATTCTCATGCCTCAGCCTCTTGAGTAGCTGGCGTTACAGGTGCCTGCCACCAGGCACGGCTAATTTTTGGATTTTTAGCAGAGACACGGTTTCACTATATTGGCCAGGCTGCTCTCAAACTCCTTATCTCAGTTGATCCGCCCACCTCGGCTTCCCAACGTGCTGGGGAAACTTGATTTTCTATAGCATTATGTTACTGGATATTTCTGTAAAATTTAAAATGAGGGAGGGAGAGAGACAGACGGAAAACAAACTCCAGAGTTGGGACTCTGGAATCTTGGGTCATGAGACAAATTTTAGATTAAACTACAAAACTCCAGAATTTACAGGTGGGGTTTTTACTGATAAAGTACAATTCTAAGATTGTAAATAATTGCATAATCCTTCCCTGGGAATTTAAATCATTTTAACTGGTTCTGCTGTAATACTAGAAATACAAGCATGAAAAATTCTAATGGTTTATTAGTGACAATGACTCTGAAAACATTAATAATACCTATTAGATATTTTGCATATTACACAGGAAGAAGAGTTTGAATCTCAGATAAAAACAATAGAAATACATGAAAAGTCTTTCATGTTAGCACAGATTTTAGGCATCTCGTGTTCGGGAGGTTGGATCTCAGACGTGTTTTGAGTTGGTCATAGTGAAGGACACTAGGTGTCAAATTCTAGCGAGAACAATTTCCAGGAAGCCGTGTTCCGCTCTTGAGCGAGCACCCACTGGGCCTCATGCAAGGTAGAAAGAGCCTGCGTACGTCACCCTCCCATGATGTGGTCAACATGTAAACTGCATGGGCAGGGCGCCAAATAACATCCTGTGCGCTGCTGAGCTGAGCTCGGTCGCGGCTGCCTGTCTGCTCCGGCAGCACCATGTCGCTCTTGGTCGTCAGCATGGCGTGTGTTGGTGAGTCCTGGAAAGCAATAGAGGGAGGGAGTGAGGGGATGGAGATCTGGGCCCAGAGGTGGAGATATAGGCCTGGAGGTGGAGTTATGGGCCTGGAGTGGAGATCTGGGCCTGGAGTGGATATATGGGCCTAGAGATGGAGTGATGGGCCTAGAAGTGGAGATCTGGGCCCAGAGGTCGAGATATAGGCCTGGAGGTGGAGTGATGGGACTGTAGTGGAGATCTGGGCCTGGAGTGGAGATAGGAACCTGGAGGGGAGATAGGAACCTGGAGGGGAGATATGGGCCTGGAGGTGGAGATATGGGCCTGGAGTGGAGTCATGGGCCTGGAGGTGGAGTTATGGGCCTGCAGTAGAGATATGGGCCTGAAGTGGAGACATGGGCCTGGAGTGGAGATATGGGCCAGGAGTGGAGATATGGGCCTAGAGGTCGATATCTGGGCCTGGAGTGGAGATATGGGCCAGGAGTGGAGATATGGGCCTAGAGGTCGATATCTGGGCCTGGAGAGGAGATATGTGCCTAGGATGGAGATACGGGCCTGGGTGTGGAGATATGGGACTGGAGAGGATATATGGGCCTGGAGTGGAGATATGGGACTGGAGAGGAGATATGGACCTGGAGTGGAGATAAGGGCCTGGATTGGAGATATGGGCCCAGGGTGGAGATCTGAGCCTGGATTGGAGATATGGGCCTGGATTGGCGATATGGGCTTAGGGTGGAAATATCGGCCTGGAGTGGAGATATGGGCCTGGAGTGGAGATATGGGCTTGAGGTGGGGATATGGACCTGGAGGCTGGGTCTCTGCACAGCCGACAGCCCTGTTCTTGGGTGCAGGTAGGCACTGAGGGTGAGTTTACCTTCAGCCCAGGAAGGGCCTGGCTACCAAGACTCACAGCCCAGTGGGGGCAGCAAGGGTGCCCTGGTTTGCCTGCAGATGGGTCATCCATCATGATCTTTCTTTCCAGGGTTCTTCTTGCTGCAGGGGGCCTGGCCACATGAGGGTGAGTCCTTCTCCCAACCTTCGGGTGTCATCTCCCCACATAAGAGGATTTTCCTGAAATGGGAGGGAAGTCCTGTCAGGGAGTCTCTCATAAACTAGGAAGAAGGGACCCTGGGGTGCTGGGCCCACATTTCTGACCTTGCCTCCCTGGCCTTTCATTCCCTTGGCAGAGTCAAGTTCTGTGGGGACCAGGGTTAGACTACGGTGCTCAAAGCTGGGGTGTGTGGTGGGGAAGTGGTAGGAACAGCAGATCCTCTGAGGACAAAGGTGTTACTCACACACTTCAGCGTTTCCATGACGGTAGGGGCTGCAGTGTGGCTGCTGTCATTCTACCAGAAGAGGTGGGAAAACCACAGCCATGGCCCTGACATTCCAATCCTCTGATGGGGACTCAGTTGTTTATTTTCGTTCAGGCATCGGCTGATATTCCATTCTCAAAGGACATGCCCTCCACCCCATGTCTACCCTGTGTTGTTTTATGTGAGTAATCTTACAGTATTAAAATCTAGTAGGAGTCTCTTACTCAGCACTTGCTCAAAGTTCTCAGCTGACACTTTTGTTGTAGGGAGACACCTTGTGTTTGCGGGATGGGTCCTTCCTTTAGCCCTGGGCACCAAGGTGTGATAGCAGCCATAGAAACTTGGAAAGCGAGGAGAATCTTCAGAGCACAGGGAGGGAGGGGCGGCTCCACATCCTCCTCTCTAAGGCGGTGCCTCCTTCTCCCCACGGTGGTCAGGACAAGCCCTTGCTGTCTGCCTGGCCAAGCCCTGTGGTGCCTCCAGGACATGTGATTCTTCAGTGTCATTCTTATCTTGGGTTTAACAACTTCAGTCTGTAAAAGGAAGATGGGGTGCCTGTCCCTGAGCTCTACAACATAATATTCTGGAACAGCCTTTTCATGGGCCCTGTGACCCCAGCACACGCAGGGACCTATACATGTCGGGGTTCACAACCACACTACCCCAGTGGGTGGTCGGCACCCAGCAACCCCCTGGAGATCACGGTCACAGGTCAGAGGGCTCCTGTCTGGGATTCTCCTTGTCCCACCTCCTGAATCCCAGAGCTCCTGGTGGGCGTGTCCTTGCGGGTCCCATCATGCAAGTCCTGACTGTATTTGGGGTAAAGGGGGATTGAATACAGGGAAATGGGTGCTGTGGTGGGAAGAATAATTGTCCCCAGTGATGACTACATTCTAATCCCTGGAGTCTGTGACTATTTATGATATAGGGGAAGGGACTGAAGGAGAAGATGGAGCTCAGGTTGTTGATGAGTTGACCTTGAGATGGGGAGACAGCCTGGACTGTCCTGATGGGCTCAGTGTAGTCACAGGGGTCCACATGAAAGGAGGAGGAAGAGGGGAGTGGGGATTACAGCAGCATAATGGGAGTCTCCATCAGCTTTGAAGGTGGAGGAAGTCCAGGAGCCATGAATGCAGGTGGCCTATAGAGGCTGGAAAAGTCAAGGAACTGATTCTCCTGAGTCTCCAGAGGGAACGAAGCCCTGCAGGTGCCTTGATTTTACCCACGACAAACAGGGTCCGATTTCTGTCTCCAGAATTGGAAGGGGTTAGTGTGCTCTCTCCTGGTGCCATGCTTCTGATAATTTTCTACAGCAGCAACAGGAAACCAACACTGGAACCCAGGTCAAGGACAAGTTAAGAAACAACACAAGGATAGCCAGGCATGGTGGCAGGTGCATGTAATCCTAGCGACTTGGGAGGCTGAGGGCAGGAGAATCACTTGAACCCAGGAGACAGAGGTTGCAGTGAGCCTAGACCACACCACTTCACTCCAGCCTGGGCAAAGGAGTGAGACTCTGTCGCCAAAATTAATTAATTAATTAAAGAAACCAAACAAGGAGAAGGTTGGCTACACTGAGATCAGCAAGGCTCAGATGATGATGCCACCACCAGGCTCCATCCACATAGGGAGGGGTTGATACTCCTCCAACCAGCACCAGGAGCCAGCCTATGGAAGCTGGCACTGGCATGGCAAGAGTGGCTCCCAGTCCCTACCAGGAACAGGGTGTGTGGCCACTGGTGCCTGCCTTACTGATCAGTTCATACCTCCTGCCAAGGATTCCAATTCGTCCAAAAGAGATTGAACCAGGCTGCTAAGAGCCTGGATGTGCAGCCTATCCTGGTTCCTCTTCCACCCCCACATAGACAGCAGGAAAGACATTAGTTCGAAATAGATACAACAGCCCAAGAGATGAGGCTGAGCCCAGCGGCAAGGGAATCAGAGGCTACTAGAGACAGAGGGACAGAGAAGAGTGAGGGAGACAGATGGAAGGACCTGCACCAGGAGTTATGGGCACAGAAAAGAACATGAAGACACAGAGAGGAAGGAGAGAGATAAGACACCAGGAAGGGGAAGCCTGACTCAATCCAGGTGCCATGGATGGGATGATAAAGAGAGACACCTTCTAAACTCACAACCTCTCTTCCTAGGAGTCCACAGAAAACCTTCCCTCCTGGCCCACCCAGGTCGCCTGGTGAAATCAGAAGAGACAGTCATCCTGCAGTGTTGGTCAGATGTCATGTTTGAACACTTCCTTCTGCACAGAGAGGGGATGTTTAACGACACTTTGCGCCTCATTGGAGAACACCATGATGGGGTCTCCAAGGCCAACTTCTCCATCAGTCGCATGACGCAAGACCTGGCAGGGACCTACAGATGCTACGGTTCTGTTACTCACTCCCCCTATCAGGTGTCAGCTCCCAGTGACCCTCTGGACATCGTGATCATAGGTGAGAGTGTCCAGACTTTCTTCTCATTGTCATTGGGATGCAGAGTGAATGATCCAGGAATTGGAGACCCAGGTGGCTGTAAGGAAGATGAGCTTGGTATTCTTATGGAGAGAGACTGACTTGGTGAGGTCTGTGCCAACAGAGACAGAGAAACAGGAGACACAAGTAGAGACCAGGTGTCATAACAGAGAACAGACACAGGGGCCATACCGGGAGTTAGAAAAGACAGAAAGAGTTAAAGGAGACACACAGACAGACATGTCCCAGAGAGAGGTGTCCCTCCATGCTGACTTTGCTCAGAGACCTGGCACAGGTTAGAAGTTTCATTTCTGTTTTACCTCCACAAAGTGTTCTCTACCAGGAGAACCCAAGGACACCCATATTTCTGACCTGAGTTGGGCCCTGTGGCCTCAGGCCTTGTGGCACCTACAGATGCCATGTTTATTCTGACACCTCTGCCTTCCATGTAATGGAGAGTAATCGTCCCAGGATATCATGGCCCCACAACACCAACCCCTGTATGCTGTGTGAACTTGTAGTCTCCAGACTGGATTCTGAGGCTCATATTCCAAATAAGCCCACTTATGAGAGGATCAGTGAGAGGCACAGAGAGAAATCAGGGACACCAAAAAGCAAAGACATAAACACACAGAGAATGAGCCAGAGGAAGGAGATTGAGAGACTCACAGACACATAAAGAGAGAGAAAAGAGGGCAGAGGAGTGGTGAGAATGATGGAAGGGAGCAGAGAAAAGCACTAAAATTAGACTCCTGAGGGAGAGGCACAAGGACATTGAAAGATGGAGATGTGGGGATGAATTGCAGAGATTCCAAAGAGAACTAGAGAGACCGAGAGGCAGAGCAAGACAGATGATAGATGGATAGATATAGATAGATGATAAATAGGTAGATGATAGATAATAGGTTATAGATACATAGATGATGATTGATTGATTCATTAATAGATGAGACATAGAGATGATGATGATGAAGACAGATAGATAGATAATACATAGAGATACAGAGGCAGACATAGAGAAATCATAGAGAGAGAGAGATGATACATAGATATAGATAATAGATGATTGATGGATAGATAGACAATTGATGGATAAATAGATGATATATAGATATAGATGACAGGTAGAGAATTTGTAGATAGGCACCGAATAGATAAATAGATAGATCGATAGATAATAGATAGAAATATGCAGAAAGTTATGAACAGGACACAAAGTGAGAAACTCAGAATTAAAAAAAGTAACATCAAGTCAACCAATCCAAGGAGAGTCAGAGAGAATAAAACAATCCAAAAAGAGAAAACATATCTAGAGGTGGGGAAGTGAGGTCAGAGACCTAGAGAGACAGAGAAGGTGGAAGGAGGAAATAGACATGAAGAGCGATGGGGTAGAGGGTGAGAGAGAGAGAGAGAGAGCATTAGGTCATAGAACAGGGGAGTGAGTTCTCAGCTCAGGTGAAGGGAGCTGTGACAAAGAAGATCCTCCCTGAGGAAACTGCCTCTTCTCCTTCCAGGTCTATATGAGAAACCTTCTCTCTCAGCCCAGCTGGGCCCCACGGTTCTGGCAGGAGAGAATGTGACCTTGTCCTGCAGCTCCCGGAGCTCCTATGACATGTACCATCTATCCAGGGAAGGGGAGGCCCATGAACGTAGGCTCCCTGCAGGGCCCAAGGTCAACGGAACATTCCAGGCTGACTTTCCTCTGGGCCCTGCCACCCACGGAGGGACCTACAGATGCTTCGGCTCTTTCCATGACTCTCCATACGAGTGGTCAAAGTCAAGTGACCCACTGCTTGTTTCTGTCACAGGTGAGGAAAGCCCATGGCTGTCCCATGTCCTATGATCCTAGAGCCTTAGCTGAGGAGCTTCCTGCTGAGGATGGAGAGAAGCATGGACAGATGCAGAGAGAAGACGCAGCCTCGGTGTGAGGGAGGGATCAGGGCACAGGATGGCCGACAGGGCACCTCCAAACCCTCCTACATGGCCTGCATGGAGGCCCACGGCCAGGGCTCCAGGCACCCAGGCAGATGGAGAAAGCGGTCAGGAGAGACCCAGAGGAGGGAGACTGGGCTCAGTTTGGGGAGATCAGAGGTTCCCTCAGCCCCTCAACCTTACCCATTTCCCAGAAGCCCATCCTGGCCTCTCACCCACACAGAGATGTCATCACCAGCAACCCCTACACCCTTTACTTTTCTTTGAAGAAATATTTATTGAGGATAAATATACCTATATAGCTTACCACTTTTAACATTTTTTTTTGAGGTGGAGTCTAGCTCTGTCCCCTATGATGGAGTGCAGTGGCACAATCTCAGCTCACTGCAACCTCCGCCTCCTGGGTTCAAGCGATTCTCCTGCCTCAGCCACCTGAGTAGCTAGTGCTACAGGCACGCACCACCACGCCAGGCTACTTTTTGTATTTTTAGTAGAGAGGTGGTTTCACCATGTTGGTCGAGCTGGTCTCGAACTCCTGACCACGTGATCCACCCGCATCAGCCTCCCAAAGTGCTGGGATTACAGGCATGGGCCACCAGGCCCAGCCACATTTACCATTTTTAAGTGTAAAGTCTAGTGGTCATAAATACATTTTTATATATATATATATATACATTTTTTTTACCCTCCACCCTTTTCTTCCTGTCCTCCAGTAGCCACCATTCTACTCTCTACCTTCATGAGATCCACCTTTTAGCTCCTGTATATGGGTGAGAAATGGGAATCTTTTTAATGACCTCCAGTTCCATCCATGTGGCTGCAAATGACAGGATGTTATTCTTTCTATGGATGAGTAGTCTCCACTGTGCGTATGTACTACATTCTCTCTATCCATTCACCCACTGATGGGCAGGTAGGTTGACTCCTCATCTTGGCTACTGTGAACAGTGCTGCACCAATCATACGAGTGCAGATATCACTTCGATATGTTGATTTACTTTCCTTTGGATATAAACCCAGTAGTGAAATTGCTGGATACTATGAAAGTTCTCTTTTTTTTTTTTTTTTTCTTTTTTGAGAAAGAGTTTCCCTCCTTAGCCCAAGCTGGAGTCAAAGTGGTGCAACCTTGGCTCATTGCAACCTCCGCCTCCTGGGTTCAAATGATTTTCCTGCCTCAGCCTCCCTAGTAGCTGGGATTACAGGTGCACACCACCATGCCTGGCTACTTTTTGGTTTTTTTAGTATAGATGCGGTTTCCCCATGTTGGCTGGGCTGCTCTCAAACTCATGACCTCAACTGAGGTGCCCGCCTCAGTCTCCCAAAGTGCCGGGATTACAGGCATGATCCACCTCACCCAACCTCTTTTTAGTTCTTTAAAGGACTTCCATACTTTTCTCCGTAATGGCTGTACTAATTTACACTCCTCCCAACAGGGTACCAGGGTTCTCCTTTCTCTACCACCTTGCCAGCATTTCTTTTGCCTGTCTTGCAGCTAAAAGCCATTTTATTTTATTTCATTTTATTTTGAGATGGAGTTTTGCTCTTCTCACCCAGGCTGGAGTGCAGTGGCGCTATCTCGGCTCACCACAACCTCCACCTCCCAGGTTCAAGCGATTCTCCTGCCTCAGCCTCCCGAGTAGCTGGAATTACAGGCACACGCCACCACGCCCTACTAATTTTTGTATTTTTAGTAGAGACAGCGTTTCTCTATGTGGGTCAGACTGGTCTCAAACTCCCAACCTTATGAGATTCACCCACCTCAGGTTCTCAAAGTTCTAGGATGACACAAGTGAGCCACCTCACCCGGCCTAAAAGCCATTTTAATGGGGTGAGATGAAAACTCACTTTGATTTTAATTTGCGTTTCTCTGATGATGAGTGATACTGAGCACTTTTTCGTATGTGGGGAAATTTCATGTCTTTTGCTCCTTTTTCAATTAAATCATTTGTTTTATTGAGTTGTTTGAGCTTCTTATATTTCTAGTTATTAATCCCATCTCAGATGCATAGTTTGCACATATTTGCTCCCAATCTGTGGGTTGTCTCTTCACTTTGTTGGTTTATTTTTAGCAGTGCTGAAGTTGCTTAGTTTGAGGTAATCCCAATGGTCTATTTTTGCTTCGATTACTTGTGTTTTGAAGGTTTAAAACAAAATGTCTTCCTTCAGACAAACGTCCTGGAGCATTTCCCCAATATTTTGTTCTACGTGTTTCATAGGTTCAGGCCTTAGACTCACATCTTTAATCCATTTTCATTTGATTTTTGTGTATGGTGACAGGTAGAGTTGCAGTTTCATTCCTCTGCATGTAGATGTCCAGGTTTCCCTGCACTGTTTATTGAAAAGACTGTCCTTTCCTGATTGTGAGTTCTTGGCATCTTTGTCAAAGTCCATTGGATGGGCTGGGCTTGGTGGCTAACACCTGCAATTTCAGCACTTTGGGAGCCCGAGGTGGGTGGATCACCTGAGGCCAGGAGTTCAAGATTAGTCTGGCCAACGTGATGAAACATCGTCTCCACTAAAAATATAAAAATTAGCTGAGCATGGTGGTCAGCACCTGTAATACCACTACTCAGGAATTTGAGGCAAGAGAATGATTGAACCCAGGAGGCTGAGGTTGCAGTGAACCGAGATTGCACCTCTGCACTCCAGCCTGAGTGACAGAGCAAGACTCCATCTCAAAAGAAAAAATAAAAAACCATTGGATGTAAATGCATGGAATATATCTGTGTTATTCATTCTGCTCCGTTGTTCTATGTGCCTTTCTTTATGCCAATGTCATGCTATTTTGCTTACTACAGCTCTGTAACATATTTTGAGATCAGGTAGTGTGATGCTCCTGTTTTCTCTTTATATCTTGAAGTCTCAAGACAGTGGGTGTCATATAAAAAAATTATGGAAAAAAGGATCCCAGGACTCCCAGGGCTCAATATTAGATAAGAGAGTGTTGGCCATGAACCATCCTCAAAGATTTCCACTGAGTGGAGGACAGACACCCTCATTTCCTCACCTCTCTCCTGTCTCATGTTCTAGGAAACCCTTCAAATAGTTGGCCTTCACCCACTGAACCAAGCTCCAAAACCGGTGAGTACAGAACCCTCTTATATCCGCTTTTGGAACCCTGGGGAGGTGGGAACCTTGGATTCAGGCGTTGACTCAGCATCTCACAGCTCTGACATTGTACACTTGTCTTCCACCATCTCCGAACTCCAGATACTCCTACAGCGAAAGGGATCTGGGCCCAACACAGGGCTCAGTGAAATCTCTTCATCTCTCATTTTATGGAGCTGAGACCTCCTACAAGCTAGAAGAATGATTGCCAATCTGACATCCTTCTCAGGAAAAATGCAATGTTTGTTCTACCTGCATTCCTAACTGGAGGATAAATTCCTGGAGACTTGAGAGAGGGAAGGGAAGGGAACATCTGATGAGGGCAAGGTGTTTTAGAGAAGTTCCACTTGCCAAGGAATGAGCTCCTGTAGGTCATGAAGCAACCCTGGCTGACTCCGCAGAGAAAGAGCCTTGCCGTAACAGAGAACAGAGCTCATGCACGCACACTTCGACTCACTGACTCATTCAGCCACGGCCCCATGCTCAGGCTGTGCAGTGTGGAACCTTTTCCTATTGTTGCCATAACAAATTTCCACAAGATTCGTGGGTGAAAACAAAACGGTTTTTTAATTATCTTACAGTGCTGTAGCTCAAAGTAGGAAGTGCATCTTACTGGGCTAAAATCAAGGTGACAGCAAGGCTGCCTTCCCTCTGAGGATTCCAGGCACGAATCTGCTTCTCACTTGTCCCAGCTTCTAAAGGCTCCCAGTTCCTTGGCTCCTGGTCCCCTTCCTCCTTCCTCAAAGCCCACAAAGACTGGTCACATCTCACATGGCATCACTCAGTGCCTTCTTCCTTACCACACCTCTTTCTCTGAGTGCTGCTCTCCCTTCTTCCTCATCTTTTGAAAACTTGGGGATTCTATTGGGTTCACCAAGATGAAAATCCCTCATAATCTCCTGGAAATCATCCAGGATACCCTTGTTTTAAGTTCAGCTGATTAGCAACCATAATTCCATCTGCAATCTTCATTCCTCCTTTCCATGTAAAATAACATATTCACAAGCTATGGAGGCTAGGACAGGGACATTTTGGGGTGGGACAGCATTCTCCTGCCTTCCACAAACAGTGAACAAGATGCATTTGGCCTCTGCCCTTGGGACACTGATATTGCAGATGGTTAAATGGGAGGGCAGAAAATGAACGCACAAGTGGATCTATAAATGAATGGTCCATTGGGAAGCATCTGTGCATGAAATCTATTTTTTGTTTGTTCTTTTGTTTATTGAGACAGAGTCGCCCTCTGTCTTCCAGGCTACAGTGCAGTGTCACGATCTTGGCTCACTGCAACCTGCGTCTCCTGGATTCAAGTGATTCTCCTGCCTCCGCCTCTCGAGTAGCTGGGATTACAGGCAACTGCCACCGTGCCCGGCTAATTCTTTTTGTATATTTTTTGTAGAGAGGATGTTTCACCACGTTGGCCAAGCTTGTCTGAAACTCCCAACCTCAAGTGATCCGACCGTCTCAGCATGCCAAAGTAATGGGACTACAGGCGTGAGCCACTGTGCCCAGCCAGAATTCAAAATCAATAATAGATAATGCTGAGTGTATGATTTCAGGTGACAAAGAAGGTCTCACTATTCAGATATTTGTGACATTAATGAAAAACACGGAATGAACCCCTGAAAGATTGGCGGAAGGATTTTGCACACACAGCTGTCAGCCATGAAGGCACAAAGGTGAAAACAATCTGATGTGGAAGGAAGAGGCTCTGACTCAAATGCTGGGAATGAGGTGGGGAGAATGACAAGACGACTGTAGAGAGACGGAGAGCACACTGGGTACACAGGAAACTAAGGAGCAACAAGGAGTGTGTGTTTGACACTCACAGCCATTGGATTCACCTCGGGGTAACCAGGAATCCCTACATGATTAATATGACTGACATGAAAATAAGGGAGGCCCAGGTGCATAACTGGAATCTAGGAGACCGTGGAAAAGGCAATTGCCGCCCCACTGGTGAAATGTGGTGCTGATTTAGACACTAAATGAATGAAGTAGATGGATATAAGATATGTTTGTGAGGTAGAATCATTGACTGGAAAGGCTTACTGGGTTTGATTTTCCTACTTGTTTAATCCTCGCTTAATTAATTTCTTTCTGAGATTTATTCATCCTACACATAAATCAATACCTGGCAAAGGAGTGACAGATATATGAGTGGTGGTGGAAATGAAGAGACTTATTATAGCATAATATACAAGTCTGTGAACAGTGGCTCACGCCTGTAACCTAGCACTGCAGGAGGCCAAGGTGGGTGGATTCCATGAAGTCAGGAGTTCCAGACCAGCCTGGCCAACGTGGTGAAACCCTATCTCTACTAAAAATACAAAAATTAGCCGAGCACGATGGTGCATCCCTGTAATCCCAGCTCCTATTCTGGAGGATGAAGCAGGAGAATGACTTCAACCCAGTAGGTGGAGGTTGCAGTGAGTGGAGATTGCATCACTGCACTCCAGCCTGGGGGACACAAGGAGACTCTATCTCAAAAAATAAAAATAAGAAATACATAAATATAATAAAACACACACGAATGACAAAGGCACCTGAATTCCAATCATCGTTTTTCTATTTCTCTATAATTACTTCTTTGATCCTTTATCTTATCCATTAGGCAATGAGCCTAAAACCTCTTCCCTATTTGGCTTTCTGTGAGCATGAGATCATATAGAAAATGTGAAAGCCCGCTGAATCCTCCAGCACAGATCCTGGAATAGAGAAAGTGCTCTGGTCATCACAAAAAAAACTTGCCCACTCACCCAAATCCCCCACCTCACCCCTACTTCCAATCACCTGTGGAGATTCAGATAGACCATGGGGAGGTAAACATTAACACTCCTTGGAGTGAGTCCAGATCTTGGAATCAGAGATCAGCGACAGCACTAGCTCCTGCTCCCCTTTCCTACTAATTCACAGGAGGACAGGTGGTTTTGAAGCAATAGATGGCCGAGGGGGTGGTCCTTCCCCCAGCCTCTCGGGTAGAACAGCAGCCTAATATGTGTCTCCCGAGATCACAAAGAGCAGCAGGTTTCACACGGGCTTCAACACTATTTCCTGGCCGTTTGACATAAGAGAATTCTATTTCGCTTTTTTTATCTTGATTTCACTTTTGTTTTCTTTCCTTGGAGAATGCAAGTTGTTTGATTCAAGAATGCTGTGGATGTAGAAACCCTAAAGCACATTCGCTGTGAATCAATCCCAGTCCAGTCTTCCCAGAGAAGACTCTAAACACCTCCTGGACTGCACCTGGGCCTATGCCAATTCCTATCACTCACCGTCACTCCAGGGAGACAGAACACACAGAGAATACGTTACATAGGCAGGTTCATTACTAACAGATAAGCAGCGAGTGACAACAGAAACCTATATTTCAATGTGACCCAGTCCCTCAAGGCTCAGAAAAGCTCCTCGGGACATATGGAGTCACCCCATTTGCAGTGTAGCTGCGGGAAGCCAGAAAGCAGCCCAGCCTGGGTTTTGTACCCTGGAGCCACAGGAAGCACTCAGCTAAAGCACTGCATGACGTCCTCCAGGAAGAACAGGAAGACAGCCCAGGGTGTTCTGAGACGTTCCTCCTGATCTCAGGAAGTTGCTGTCTTAGGCCATTTTTGTTGCTCTAAAGGAACACTTGAGCCTCGGTAACTTCTAAAGAAAAGAGATTGGTTTGCCTCACCGTTCTGCAGGCTGTACTGGAAGCATGGCACCAGCATCTATTTCTCGTGACGGCCTCAGGCTGCTCCCACTCTGGCAGAAGGGAAGGAGGGTCTGTCTGTGCAGAGACCACAGAGATCACACGGCAAGAGAGGGAGCAAGGGGGAGGGGGAGTGATGGAGCTTCCAAGCTCTTTTTAACAACCAGCTCTCCGGGAACTAATAGAGGGGGAACTTGCTAACCCCGTCTCCTTGGGACAGCATTGGTCTGTTCATGATGGATCCACCTCCATGACCCAAACACCTCTCAAGAGGCCCAACCTCCCACAGTGGGGGTGAAATTTCAATGTGAGGTTTGAAGGGGTCAAACATCTCAACTAAAGTAGTCGTATCCTCAGCACGTTCTATGGTTACTATGAGAGCTATAACTGAAAAAGCAGGAGAAAGCTGGGTCTCCTGCCATCTGGGTGCTTGTCCTAAAGAGGTGTTTTATGTGGTTACCTGTCAATCAAGAAATGCGAGACAATTCATAAAGAGGAACTGCTAAGATTAGCTTCTTATTGGTGTCTCATCTTCTTCCAGGTAACCCCCGACACCTGCACATTCTGATTGGGACCTCAGTGGTCATCATCCTCTTCATCCTCCTCTTCTTTCTCCTTCATCGCTGGTGCTCCAACAAAAAAAGTAAGTCTCACGAAGCAGAGGCCAGAGAGCTCAGGGCCATGTGGGGAAGCAGGATGGGAGCACTCAGGTGTGTGTTCCTCACAAACAGGATGGTCCCTGGCCCAAGGCAGCAGCCACAGAGGCAGGACTTTCTAGAGAGGGCACCAGACTCCCTGTCCCTGCCTTCAACTCACAGACCGTTGCCTGATTCTGAACTGTATCCCCATGTCCCCTGCAGCCACTCACATCCAGGAGAAGGTTCCATGACAGGCAGAAAGTGGGAGACAGAATCAATGGGATGGGAACTCAGAGCTATTCATGGGATGGGTCCTTGAGCTCAGAGAGATAGAATGTCTGAGTCTGCTGTTGGCAACTGAGGGACCTCAGCCACCTATGGTCTCCCCCTGTATGTTGGTATCTGCTTATGAAATGAGGACCCAGAAGTGCCCTCCGAGCTGTTTTGTTGACTTCCATCTTCTACAGATGCTGCGGTAATGGACCAAGAGTCTGCAGGAAACAGAACAGCGAATAGCGAGGTAGGTACTCCTCGGCCCGGGCTCGTGGCTACTGTTATTCCCAAAGAGTCCTGGAAAATGTGAGCACCCTCCCTCACTCAGCATTTCCCTCTCTCCAGGACTCTGATGAACAAGACCCTCAGGAGGTGACATACACACAGTTGAATCACTGCGTTTTCACACAGAGAAAAATCACTCGCCCTTCTCAGAGGCCCAAGACACCCCCAACAGATATCATCGTGTACACGGAACTTCCAAATGCTGAGTCCAGATCCAAAGTTGTCTCCTGCCCATGAGCACCACAGTCAGGCCTTGAGGGCGTCTTCTAGGGAGACAACAGCCCTGTCTCAAAACCGGGTTGCCAGCTCCCATGTACCAGCAGCTGGAATCTGAAGGCGTGAGTCTGCATCTTAGGGCATCGATCTTCCTCACACCACAAATCTGAATGTGCCTCTCACTTGCTTACAAATGTCTAAGGTCCCCACTGCCTGCTGGAGAAAAAACACACCCCTTTGCTTAACCCACAGTTCTCCATTTCACTTGACCCCTGCCCACCTCTCCAACCTAACTGGCTTACTTCCTAGTCTACTTGAGGCTGCAATCACACTGAGGAACTCACAATTCCAAACATACAAGAGGCTCCCTCTTAACGCAGCACTTAGACACGTGTTGTTCCACCTTCCCTCATGCTGTTCCACCTCCCCTCAGACTAGCTTTCAGTCTTCTGTCAGCAGTAAAACTTATATATTTTTTAAAATAACTTCAATGTAGTTTTCCATCCTTCAAATAAACATGTCTGCCCCCATGGTTTCGGTAATGGGACTCTTTTCTTGCCTAAGGCTTCCGGTGTTATCAGTACCATGTCCATATAATCCCATCTGTTCCCCACTGAGTTCTCATCCCCGGACTCTGAGTTTCTGGAAGCAGGGTGGAGCCTCATTTGTCTCTGGGACTCCAATTTCCATCCAAAGATGTAGCACATAGGAGGTTCCAAGGATCACGAATCATATGAACAAGTGATACTCTTACTCTCTGCAGACCTGGAAAGCTGGCAGAGTCATTCCACAATGAAACATTTGTAGAATCATAGGCCTTGTTAGTCTCATCTCCATGGGGACACATATCAACACATCATCTTTCATAATATAAATATACAGTCACTCCTCCATATCTGCGGGGTTTACAGGTGTTTATTGAACCAAGTATAAATCAAAAATATTGAGAGAAAGTATCCACAGAGTTTCAAAAAGCATAACTATGTTGAATGGACACAAATGAAGCTGTGTGTAGGCTGTATCAGGAATTATAAGTAATCTAGAGATGATTTCATGTATACAGGAGGATGTGCATAGGTTATTTGCAAACGCTGTGCCATTTCATATAAGAGGCTTGAGCATCTACAGATTTTGGTATCTGAGTGGAGATCTCAAAACCAATCACCCACGAATAGTGAAGGATGACCGTATATGACTTTTATTTCTCAAATTTAAATATAAATCATAAAAAATGTACAACTAGATAAAAACTAAGAAGTGTTTTTATAGTGTGAGTTAGATTTATTTTTTCCTAGGTGTAACCAATTGGTTTAATATTATTTATTGAGAAGACATTCTATGCCACCTTAAACCACACGGCAGCCTTTGTCAACTCTAAAGGGACTGTGTGTACATGGATGTATTTTAGACACTGTTTCTGCTAAGGGGCTCTCTGTGTCCACACTCTTGATGATGCTGCACTTTATGTAGCCTTATAGAACCCTTTAAATTTAGTAGCCAGAGCCCTCTAATTTGTTATTATAGGCTGTTTGCTTTTTTTTTCTTGAGGCGGAGTCTTGCTCTGTCGCCCAGGCTGGACTGCAGTGGCACAATCTCAGCTCACTGCAACCTCCGCCTCCCAGGTTCAAGCGATTCTCGTGCCTCAGCCTCTTGAGTAGCTGGCGTTACAGGTGCCTGCCACCAGGCACGGCTAATTTTTGGATTTTTAACAGAGACACGGTTTCACTATATTGGCCAGGCTGCTCTCAAACTCCTTATCTCAGTTGATCCGCCCACCTCGGCTTCCCAACGTGCTGGGGAAAACTTGATTTTCTATAGCATTATGTTACTGGATATTTCTGTAAAATTTAAAACGAGGGAGGGAGAGAGACAGACAGAGAGCAAACTCCAGAGTTGGGACTCTGGAATCTTGGGTCATGAGACAAATTTTAGATTAAACTACAAAACTCCAGAATTTACAGGTGTGGTTTTTGCTGATAAAGTACAATTCTAAGATTGTAAATAATTGCATAATCCTTCCCTGGGAATTTAAATCATTTTAGCTGGTTCTGCTGTAATACTAGAAATACAAGCATGAAAAATTCTAATGGTTTATTAGTCACAATGACTCCGAAAACATTAATAATACCTATTAGATACTTTGCATATTACACAGGAAGAAGAGTTTGAATCTCAGATAAAAACAAAAAAAATACATGAAAAGTCTTTCATGTTAGCACAGATTTTAGGCATCTCGTGTTCGGATAAAAATACATGAAAAGTCTTTCACGTTAGCACAGATTTTAGGCATCTTGTGTTCGGGAGGTTGGATCTGAGACGTGTTGTGAGTTGGTCATAGTGAAGGACGTGAGGTGCCAATTCTAGTGAGAACAATTTCCAGGAAGCCGTGTTCCGCTCTTGAGCAAGCATCCACTGGGCCTCATGCAAGGTAGAAAGAGCCTGCGTACGTCACCCTCCCATGATGTAGTCAACATGTAAGCTGCATGGGCAGGGCGCCAAATAACATCCTGTGCGCTGCTGAGCTGAGCTGGGGCGCGGCCGCCTGTCTGCACCGGCAGCACCATGTCGCTCATGGTCGTCAGCATGGCGTGTGTTGGTGAGTCCTGGAAAGGAATAGAGGGAGGGAGTGCCACATCCTCCTCTCTAAGGTGGCGCCTCCTTCTCCCCCAGGTGGTCAGGACAAGCCCTTCCTCTCTGCCTGGCCCAGCCCTGTGGTGTCTGAAGGAGAACATGTGGCTCTTCAGTGTCGCTCTCGTCTTGGGTTTAACGAATTCAGTCTGTCCAAAGAAGACGGGATGCCTGTCCCTGAGCTCTACAACAGAGTATTCCGAAACACCGTTTTCATAGGCCCTGTGACCCCAGCACATGCAGGGACCTACAGATGTCGGGGTTCACACCCACACTTCCTCACTGGGTGGTCAGCACCCAGCAACCCCCTGGTGATCATGGTCACAGGTCAGAGGGCTCCTGTCTGGGATTCTCCTTGTCCCACCTCCTGAGTCCCAGAGCTTCTGGTGGGAGTGTCCACCAGCGTCCCATCATCCAGACCCTAACTGTATTTGGGGTAAAAGGGGATTGAATACAGGGAAATGGGTGCTGTGGTGGAAAGAATAATTGTCCCCAATGATGACTGCATTCTAATCCCTGCAGTCTGTGACTATTTATGTTATAGGGGAAGGCACTGAAGGGGAAGATGGAGCTCAGGTTGTTGAGTTGACCTTGAGATGGGGAGACAGCCTGGACTGTCCTGCTGGGCTCAGTGTAATCACAAGGGTGCACATGAGAGGAGAAGGAAGAGGGGAGTGGCGATTAGAGCAGTGCAATGGAAGTCTCCATCAGCTTTGAAGGTGGAGGAAGGCCATGAGCCATGAATGCAGGTGGCCTATAGAGGCTGGAAAAGTCAAGGAACTGATTCTCCTGGGTCTCCAGAGGGAACGCAGCCCTGCAGATGCCTTGATTTTAGCCCTCAAAAAACAGGGTCCGATTTCTGTCTCCAGAAACGGAAGGGGTCAGTGTGCTCTCTCCTGCTGCCATGCTTCTGATAATTTTCCACAGCACCAACAGGAAACCAACACTGGAACCCAGGTCAAGGACAAGATAAGAAAGGACACAAGGATAGCCGGGCGTGGTGGCAGGTGCATGTAATCCTAGCAACTCAGGAGGCTGAGGGCAGGAGAATCACTTGAACCCAGGAGACAGAGGTTGCAGTGAGCCTAGACCACACCACTTCACTCCAGCCTGGGTGAAGGAGTGAGACTCTGACTCCAAAATTAATTAATTAATTAAAGAAACCAAACAAAGAGAAGGTTGGCTACACCGAGATCAGCAAGGGTGGGATGATGATGCCACCACCAGGCTCCATCCACATAGGGAGGGGTTGATACTCCTCAAACCAGCACCAGAAGCCAGCCTATGGAAGCTGGCACCATGGAGAAGGCACAGGCATGGCAAGAGTGGCTCCCAGTCCCCACCAGGAACAGGGTGTGTGGACACTGGTGCCTGCCTTACTGATCAGTTCATACCTTCTGCCAAGGATTCCAATTCGTCCAAAAGAGATTGAACCAGTCTGCTAAGAGCCTGGACGTGCAGCCTATCCTGGTTCCTCTTCCACCCCCACATAGAAGCAGGAAAGACATTAGTTCGAAATAGATACAACAGCCCAAGAGATGAGGCTGAGCCCAGCGGCAAGGGAATCAGGAGCTACTAGAGACAGAGGGACAGAGAAGAGGGAGGGAGACAGATGGAAGGACCTGTACCAGGAGTTATGGGCACAGAAAAGAACATGAAGACACAGAGAGGAAGGAGAGAGATAAGACACCAGCGAGGGGAAGCCTCACTCATTCTAGGTGCCATGGATGGGATGATAAAGAGAGATGCCTTCTAAAGTCACAACCTCTCTTCCTAGGAGTCCACAGAAAACCTTCCCTCCTGGCCCACCCAGGTCCCCTGGTGAAATCAGAAGAGACAGTCATCCTGCAATGTTGGTCAGATGTCATGTTTGAGCACTTCCTTCTGCACAGAGAGGGGAAGTTTAATGACACTTTGCGCCTCACTGGAGAGCTCCATGATGGGGTCTCCAAGGCCAACTTCTCCATCGGTCGCATGACGCAAGACCTTGCAGGGACCTACAGATGCTACGGTTCTGTTCCTCATTCCCCCTATCAGTTGTCAGCTCCCAGTGACCCTCTGGACATCGTGATTACAGGTGAGAGTGTCTGGACATTATTCTCATTGTCACTGGGACACAGAGTGAATGATCCACGACTTGGAGGCCCAGGTGGTTATAAGGAAGATGAGCTTGGTATTCTTATGGAGAGAGACTGACTTGGTGAGGTCTGTACCAACAGAGACAGAGAAACAGGAGACACAAGTACAGACCAGGTGTCATAACAGAGGACAGACACAGGGGCCATACAGGGAGTTAGAAAAGACAGAAAGAGTTAAAGGAGACACAGACAGACATGTGCCAGAGAGAGGTGTCCTTCCATGCTGACTTTGCTCAGAGACCTGGCACAGGTTAGAAGTTTCATTTCTGTTTTACTTCCACAAAGTGTTCTCTACCAGAAGAACCCAAGGACACCCATATTTCTGGCCTGAGTTGGGCCCTGTGGCCTCAGGCCTTCTGGCACCTACAGATGCCGTGTTTATTCTGACACCTCTGCCTTCCATGCAATGGAGAGTAATCGTCCCAGGATATCATGGCCCCAGAACATCAACCCCTGTATACTGTGTGAACTTGCGGTCCCCAGACTGGATTCTGAGGCTCACATTCCAAATAACCCCACATATGAGAGGATCACTGAGAGACACAGAGAGAAATCAGGGACACCAAAAAGCAAAGACATAAACACACAGAGAATGAGCCAGAGGAAGGAGATTGAGAGACTCACAGACACATAAAGAGGGAGAAAAGAGGGCAGAGAAGTGGAGAGAACAATGGAAGGGAACAGAGAAAAGCACTAAAATTAGAGTCCTGAGGGAGAGACACAAGGACATAGAAAGATGGAGATGTGGGGATGAATTGCAGAGATTCCAAAGAGAACTAGAGAGACCGAGAGGCAGAGCAAGACAGATGATAGATGGATAGATATAGATAGATGATAAATAGGTAGATGATAGATAATAGGTTATAGATACATAGATGATGATTGATTCATTCATTGATTAATCGATGATACATAGAGATGATGAAGATGAAGATAGATAGATAATACATAGAGATAGAGAGGCAGACAAAGAGAAATCATAGAGAGAGAGAGACGATACATAGATATAGATAATAGATGATTTTTGGATAGACAATTGATAGATAAATAGATTATATATAGATATAGATGACAGGTAGAGAATTTGTAGATAGGCACCAAATAGATAAATAGATATATCGATAGATAATAGATAGAAATATGCAGAAAGTTATGAACAGGACACAAAGTGAGAAACTCAGAATTTAAAAAAAGTAACATCAAGTCAACTAGTCCAAGGAGAGTCAGAGAGAATAAAACAATCCAAAAAGGGAAAACATATCTAGAGGTGAGAAAGTGAGGTCAGAGACCTAGAGAGACAGAGAAGGTGGAAAGAGGAAATAGACATAAAGAGAGATGGTGTGGAGGGTGAGACAGAGAGAGAGAGCATTAGGCCATAGAGCAGGGGAGTGAGTTCTCAGCTCAGGTGGGAGGGGAGTTGTGACAAGGAAGAACCTCCCTGAGGAAACTGCCTCTTCTCCTTCCAGGTCTATGTGGGAAACCTTCTCTCTCAGCCCAGCCGCGCCCCATGGTTAAGGCAGGAGAGAGCGTGACCTTGTCCTGCAGCTCCCGGAGCTCCTATGACATCTACCATCTATCAAGGGAGGGGGAGGCTCATGAACTTAGGTTCCCTGCAGTGCCCAAGGTCAATGGAACCTTCCAGGCCAACTTTCCTCTGGGCCCTGCCACCCACGGAGGGACCTACAGATGCTTCGGCTCTTTCCGTGACTCTCCCTACGAGTGGTCAGACCTTAGTGACCCACTGCTTGTTTCTGTCACAGGTGAGGAAACCAGTCTGTTCCCCAAATAGTGGGACTCAGATGGACTACAATGGCCACATTCAGGGGAGCCTCAGATGGAGGGGGTGGCCATGGGGGTGTCAGCCAGAGATGCTGGACAGAAGAGACACAAAGCAAACATACAGAAAGAGGCATAGACAGACAGACAGAGCGAGGCAGACAGATCACATTAGGGTTTGGGGTGGTAACTGCAACCCTACCTGAAGCTTGCAGATAGAGCACAGGCCACATAAACCACTTCCCAGTCTTTGTACAGAAGCCCACCTGGGACACATGTAAACAGCATCAATGCTGACTCAGGAGCATGAAAGGCCGGGCTCAGATTGGAAAGACTAGAGGTAGCATTGGCCGCCCGCCATTGCCCATTTCCAGAAGCCCCCACCTCTCACCAAAGAGTGATTTCCACATGGGGGGCACAGATGCAACCATCGTTGGGGGAGCCCCAATGTCTCTTGATGGGAGGCATTTTCCACCCTAGATGTTTTTTGCTCTCTCCACACCTTGGAGACTCAGTGGGGGAGTCTTCTCTGGGGACTCGGGGAGGGCCTCCCTGGGACTCGCAGGATTTCCAAGCTAGATGACAACATGACAGGTGGAAACAGGCCCATTCCTTCGCCAGGGGCCCCAAGCTCCATCCCAGGAGATGAGAAGAGGCTCTTCTCATTGGTCAGTGGATCCCTGAGGGGACAGAGGCTCAGCACTGAAGGCTGAGAAGGATCTGCCACTTCGCTCAGTGGCCTCAAGCCAGACATCTTCCCTACAGACTTGCAGTGATTCTCCATCAGCATTTAGGGCTGTGGCCACCAACCTGGGTGTTGGTCTGTAGGAACTTTTCATTTCTGACCTTCCATAACTGAGTTCTCTTCCTAAATGTGGAATGCCTTGTACTCCATGTTACTCTCTCCCCAGAAAGAATGTGTGGCTTGTCTGCTCTCCAGCCCTGTCATGGAGATTGATAATCCTTAGGGAGCAAGAGGAGAGGGAAAGAACAAAGTATGAGACCACCTAGGTGCTACTGGTTGAGGTTCCATTTGCCAGTGAAGGGACTTCACTCAGCCGAGGGGGCAACTCAGGGAAGTCAGCCGAGGGAGGGCATTAGAGTAGAGAGAACTGAGCTCACCCAGTAAATGACCCCTTCACTAACTCATTCATCTAATATTTATTTCACACCTACCATCAGTTCTCTCTGTTTCACGGCCAGGAGTAGACAGCACGGCCAAGCTCCTGGGTTCATGATGCTCACATTGCTGTGGGGTGGGAGAGAGAGGCAGAACATGAATGAATGAATGAGAGAATGAATGAATGAGTGAATGATGGAATGAGTGAATGAATGAATGAATGAATGTATGAATTAGTGAGTGAATCCTTAGCACTTGGTGAAAGTGCCATGCACAGAATGAAATGAATGAACGTGGAACGTTGTCATTTGGAGTGTACAGGAGGGAACGTCTCACTGAGACCTCATCAGAGAGATCACATTTAAACTCCGATCTTAGAGACAAGAGGGAGTGAGCCCTGGGGAGTGTGTTGAAAGGAACTTTCATGGACTTAGGACATTGGGGATGACCCTAATGTGAGAATGAGCTTGGTGTGTTCCAAGAAGTCCATGGACCTGCCATATGGTGAGGGCTGGTCAGAATCCAGAGAGATTTCTAAATGCCCTTGTGCTTGTAAGGAAAGTGAGTCCTGTGGTTGGGAGTGGACTTATACCTTGGGTCAGGTCCAGCAATTATCTTTCTAAATCCTCTCTAATTGCCTGAACCACTTCTATCAACAACTGAGAAAAGAGGAGTGTTAAACACCCCACTGTGGCCGTGGATTTGCCTACCTGTCCATTTATTTCCGCGACTCTTCCTCCATGTATATTTGCAGGAATATTACTGGGAGTGGTTAAGTGTAAACTGATTATATATTCCTGGTAAATTTAAAATGCTATAAATTTACCTGCTTTTTTCCTACATTTTATGCTTAATGTTTTCCGCTGATTTTTCCCAAAGACTAATTTTGTCTAATTTTAATATAGTTATACCACATTTCTAACAGTGATTGCTTGGTATATTTCTACATTGTTTAATTTCAAACTCCATGAATTGTTAACATTGAGATGTGTCCTTTGTAAATTTCAAACAATTCGCCTTAGAAAGTAAGACTTTCTGACAATCTTTTGTTCATGTTTGAGCAGTTCTTCCAATCATATTTTTGTTATTATTACGTTGTGTTTTCCTGATTCCCTTTTTTTCCCACTGACTTCTGTGGTTTTCTATTTCAAACATTCTATTTTTGATCTATGTCGTTTAGGAATACATATATGGTGTACTCATCCTGAAGTTGTTACATATTTTTAAAATTGAAATTAATCATTTCAGAGATTAAACTGCAAATATAAAAACATATTTCCACTCTTCCTGTGTAAGAACAGGATTTTAGAGCATATTTAGTACATATGTTTGTATTTACTTATATGATGTTTTGTTTTGTGGTATACATAATTCTATCTTTTTCAGAAATTACACAGGGGCGTGTTTTCATACACTATCGTATGGTCCATATTCATTTTTGGCATAGCCATATTTTTAGTTCTTCCTCTGCTCTTAGTTATTGTCAGAATCTTCGACACCCCATCTGGTTTCACTTTCTTTATCTTTGAGGCACGGTCATCAGAATTTCCTTTAGGGTCAGTGAGAAAAGCTTTCTTTGCCCTTTTGTCTTTCAGTTCTGTTTCTTTCCTGCGTTGATCTTGGACAGTAACTGTACTATGTAAGGAATTGTCGGTGGCTGGCGACGGTATCTTAGCTGGGTAAAGATGCTATTCTACTGGCTTATGTTTTCCTTTTTTCTGTGGGGAAGACAATGCTTGGCTCCCTATAAATCCTTACCAGCTGATCCTTTTCCTCTGGCTAATTTTAAGGGTTGGTTGTGCTTTTATGCTGCTTTTCTGTAATGTTGAACGTGAGGTGTGTTTACTTCATTCTGCCTGGCATTCACTGGATTTCTTGAACCTGTGGATTGATGGATGTGTCTACTTCCTCCAAATAATCAACAATTGCCTCTTTAAAGATTGCTTCTGACCTGTTTTCTCGTTCTTTCTTTTTGGAACTCAAGTTAGGAGCATTCTAAAACTGTTGTCAATTTTTACCCTGTCACAAAACTGCTCTTTCTTGTTTCAGTTATTTGCTTTTTCTGTGCATTAATATTGATGGTTTCCTCTGTCATAGAGGATAAATACTCTCTTCACTGTTGTGTACACAACATTTTAACTAGTTATTCTGGTTTAAATTTAATATTGACTTTATCTACATATCACAATTGATTACTGTGTACAGACTTTCTTTTCTATTAGTATAAATTTATGAGGTACACTTGTAATTTTGTGACATGAGTATGTTGCAGAGTAGTGAAGTCAGGACTTTTACTATATCCATCACCCAAATACCGTACATTGTACTCATTAAGCAAATTCTCATCACTCACCCACGTCCCGCCACCCTCCAGCCTTCTAGCCTCCGCTGTCCGTCATTCCACACTCTACGTCCATATGTACACATTACTCCCCTCCCATGTAGAGTGAGAAGATGTGGTATTTGTCTTTCTGAGTGGTTTTATGTAAAATAATGGCGTCCAGCTCCATCTATGTTGCTGCAAAAGACATGGTTTTATTTTTATGACCAAATAGTATTTCGTTGTGTATACACGCATCCTTTTTTTAATCCAATCATTCATTCACAGACACTTAGATTGATTTCATATCTTTGCTATTGCAAACAGTGCTGCAATAAACATACAGGTGCAGGTATTTTTTGAGTAGATACCCAGCAGCGGGACCCCTAGATCGAATGGTGCTTCTATTTTTGGTTCTCTGCCAAATTTCCATACTGTCTTCCATAGAGGCTATACTAATTTACATACCGGCCAACAGTGTATAAGAGTTTCCTTTTCTCTGCATCCTTGCCAACACCTGTTATATGTTTCACTTTTTCTTTTTTTCTTTTTGAGATGGAGTCTTCCACTGTCACCCAGGCTGGAGTGCAGTGCCGCCATCTCCACGCGCTGCAACCTCCACCAACCAGGTTCAAATGATTCTCCTGCCTCAGCCTCCTGAGTAGCTGGGATTACAGAACCACACCACCATGCCCAGCTAATCTTTTGTATATTTAGTAGAGATGGGGTTTCACTATGTTGGTCAGGCTGGTCTCAAACTCCTGACCTCATGATCCACCCGCCTCAGCTTCCCAAAGTGCTGGGATTACAAGCGTGAGCCACCACTCCCCACCAGCATTTTTAGTAATAGCCATTCTGACTACTGTAAGATGATATCTCATTGTGGTTTCAATTTGCATTTCTCTGATGATTAGTGATGTTCATACGCTGTTTGGCCATTCGTATGTCTTCTTTTGAAAAATGTCTATGTATATCCCTTTGCCCACTTTTTAATGCTATTATTTGAGGGGTTATGTTTAGTTGTTTGAGTTGCCTAGAAATTCTGGATGTTAGTCCTCTGTTGGGTGCATAGTTTGCAAACATTTCCATTCATTCTGTGGGTTGTCTGTTCACCCTGCTACTATTTCCTTTGCTTGGCAGAAGCTCTTTCGTTTATTAAGTCCCATTGGTCTAGTTTTATTTTTATTGCCTGTGCTTTTGAGGTCTTAGTGATGAATTCTTTGCCCAGACCAATGCCCAGAAGAGTTTCTCTTTGGGTTTCCACCGGTGATTTTATAGTTCTGGATTTACATTTAAGCTGCTAATTACCTTAAGTTAATTTATGTGTATGATTACAGATACAGGTCCAGTTTTATTCTTCTGCATATGGCTATTTAGTTTTCCCAGCACCTTTTATTGAAAAGGAAATCTTTCTCCAGTGTATGTTTTGTTAACGTCGTCAATGATTATTCACTGTAGATATGAGGCTGTATTTCTGGGCTCTCTATTCTGGTCTATTGATCTCTGTTTCTGTGTCTATACCAGCACTGTGCTATTTAAGTTACTATAGCCTTAGAGCATAGTTTGAAGTCAGATAGCATGATGCCTCCAGGTTTCTACATTCACCTAGAATTGCTTTCTCTATTAGGATCTTTTTTGGTTCTGTATGAATTTTAGGATTGCTTTTTCTAATTCTGTGAAAACTGGTGTTACTATTTTCATATAAGAATTGCACTGAATCTGTAGATTGCTTTAGGCAGTATGGTCATTTTAACAATATTAATTCTTATGATCCATGAGCGTGGGATTTTTTTTCTTTTTTTTTTTTTGTATTATCTATAATTGCTTTCATTGGTGTCTTACACCTTTCCTGGTACAGATCTTTCACCACCTTGGTTAAATGTATTCCTGAGTGTTTTAATTTTGCGTATCTATTGTAAACGGCATTGCCTTCTTGATTTGGTTCTCAGCTAGATCATTATAGGTGTAGAGAAATGCTACCGGCTTTTACATATTGATTTTGTATTCTGAAACTTTACTTAGTTCATTTATCAATCATAAGAATTTTTGGCAGGGTCTTTAGGATTTTCTAGATTTAAGATCATAGCATCAGAAATAAAAATAATTTTACTTCCTCTTTTCTAATTTGGATTTTTACTTCTTCCTGTTGCCCAATAGCTCTGACAAGGCTTCCAGTACTATGTTGATAGGAAGTGGTGGATGTCCGTGTCCTTGTCTTGTGCCAGTTCTCAGAGGAGTGCTTTTAACTTTTCCTGTTCAGTATGATGTTGACTCTAGATATGTCATCTATGGCTTTTATTATTTTGAGGTATGTTCTTTCTATGCCTAAGTTTTTGAGGGTTTTCATCAGGTAAGGATGTTGAATTTCTTTTCAGATGCTTTTCTTTATGTCTATTGAGATGATCATATGGTTTTTGTTCTGGATTCTGCTCGTTCTTCTAAGTGGATGAGACATGCCAGAAAAGCATTTAGTCAGCCATCTTGGAAACAAGCATCTCAGATGTTTTCTTTCTCTATAGCTCATTCTTTCTTACCAGTGTTTTCAATTTTGTACTTAATTTTGTAAAGAGAGTAAATGATATAATTTCCACATATGTTTCCTCTGCCAAATCAGACTCACTATGCTTCCTTTCCTTGTATGCATAACCTACCCAGCAATACACACAAACATTTATTGCTTTGGAGAATTAGTTTGGGAACATTTTTGAAATGTACAAAAAAATGTATATCTTCAAAAGAAATTTCTTTTTGTGGCAAAAGACTTCTGAAGGTGCTCATGATGATATAGGGAGAAGAGGGGTTCTGGACAGGAAGAATTTTATGAAGGTGAGATGGGGAAATAGCTCCATTTCAGAGCTTCTGGGGAGAGAGGGGCCTGGCCCACATGGAAAGGTCTCTGATCTTACCCCCACCCTCCAGCCCCTGTTCTCCAGAACTATACTGTGGAGAGTTCCATCAGGATTGTTGTGGCTGGTCTGGTCTTCCTGGCTCTTTTGGCAATGCTGGCTAAGACCTGGTGGAGACATGAGGGGCCACAGGTGGAAATGGAAGAAACATGACTGAAGCTGGCTGGAGTGAATGGCGCGACATTCTGTCTGTGGGAGATTGGCCAGATGGGTTTCAAGTGTGTTGTATCAGCTGTGACTTTTAGTAATGTTCTTGCTACCACAATATCCACTCGTCCATCCCGAATAATTGTGATGAAATATTGTCCTTGGGATAATATTCATTTGCTAAAGACAGGGATGATACCTCAAGGTGCCACTATATACATCGAGGGGATCCACAAAAGTCCATTCAGTAAAATGTAGTTGGCATCTTAGGGTAGGTTGATTCCACCTCTAAAAAAGTAGGTACAACATCAGGTTGATTTTTCCGAAGAAAAGTGGTGATTGGCCATCTTTAGTCTCAATGTAAACGGTAATACTGATGAGTGTGGAAAAGGCAGGGAAGAGGATTGACAATAAGTGACACTCATTGTTTTCATCTGAGCTTTGAGACTGAAAGAGGAACACAGGAGTGAGATGTATGGGAACAAACCCCTTCTTTTTCCAGCTAAACAGAGTGGAAGTTGGACACTGAGTTTTGGCGTACAGCAAAATCCTAAGTCCATTGTTGGGTTGAACACGGCCATGTTGTACATCCTGGTTTCACAGCAGACACTGGAGGAAAACAGCCTGTATTCATAAGAGGCTGTCCCTCGGGTCACTGCCCAGAATATCCGGAGTTGGTGCTCACAGGGTTGGGAACTCTCCTGGACCAGACAGGCTCTGGATATGGGGGGGTACCAAGCTCCCCGGGGCCATGCCTCCACAGCTCTCTTCTCACCTCATTCTTGACCATTTCCCAAACCTCTGACCTCACCTTCATTCATCCATGGTGAACACGCTAAAGCTGGCCTTCAAAGCTTGAGACAGAGGAAAATTGGGCTTCATCTCTGGGAACTAAATTGGGGAGTGGAGACTCAGTTCTGGCCTGACAGGAGGGAGAAGACCCTGGATCCCAGTGTGGATGGGAAGAAGTATGTGTTTCTCTTTTGTGCTTGGACCCTGTGTCCAAGCATGTCTGAGATGTGATGAAGATGAATCTTCCTTTCCTTGTCTATTTTCTCATGCCAGAGAATTGGAATCTTATATTCCATTAACTCTTTCTGTTCTGTTCATCCAGATTCTATGAAGGAGAAAGGAAAAGATGTGATACTGTAATTTTGCTCCATTTGTCTAAAATGAGTAGGCTGCAACTCCTCTTGAAGTGATACCTTTTCTAGCTCTTGTTGGAGGTGTCTCAGGACTCATTACTTCGGGGAACCTGCAACTGTGTCAGTCTGGGGAAACTGCAAATATTCTTGTCTTACATTTGTCTCCAGCCAATTGTGATGGACTCCAGTGACCTGCAATTGCTGTTATTGCAGGTAAAATGTACCTGAGTCAGGCCACAGTTCTCCTGGACTATGAGCCCCTGGCCATGTTCCTGAGGCAATTCTGTTCATCTAAATATAATAATAATAACACACTAAAAATGGCAAGCCATTGTTAATTCCTGAAGTCTCATTTGAAAATTACTAAATGTCTGTTATTTTTTGGTGTTTACATTATATGTAGACAGATAAACTACACACACACACACACACACACACATGCACACAGAAGAATGGATTGGTTCATGTAGAAAAGTAAATAATTCAAGATGAAAGGATGAAATGTCATGGCACCTACTATTCTATTTTAGATAAAGGGTCTATGAAAAGATTGATTTCTTTTTATGTTTTATTTGTTGACATTTGAACACAAACTATGTAAGTGAGGGAGTCGATTTGAAAGGGAGAAGAGCAAGTTCAAACACATTCAGGTGAGGTCATGCTTTACATGTTTTAATTGAAATGATCCATCTTGGGAGTAGATCAATAACTGAGATGGTGCCAGGAATGTTAAAAAGCTTTTGTCAGTCCTAAATATTGACAAATAAAATTTAATTAAAGTCTTAGAAGAAAACACAAAGGAAAACTTCACAACATCGGATTTGGCAGTGATTCTTTAGATGTGACAACAACGGCACAGGCTACTACAGAAAAAATAAACAAGTTAGACTTTATGAAAATTTTGAAATATTGTGACTCAAAAGACAACATCAGTTACTTCACATGGCAAGGAAAAAGAACTTTTAAGACGATATTATCAAAGTAAAAAGACAACCCACAGAATGGGAGAAAATGTTTTCAAACCACACCACCTGTAAGGGATTAACATCCAGAATATACAGACAACTCCTAAAACTCAATCACAATAAACTCAATTCAAAAATGGGCAAAGTACTGAAACAGACATTTCTCCAAAGAACATACGCATGAAAAGATATTCAGCATCACGAATCATTAGGGAAATACTAACTAAAACTACACCAGATGCCATTTCATACCCCTTAGGATGGGTATCATCAAAACAACAACAACAACAACAACAAAGTTTCTATACATTAACAACAAACTATCCAAAAAAGTTTACAAGAAAATAAGCCCATTTGCAATAACTACAGAAAACAAAACATGCAGGAATAAATTCACCCAAGGAGTAGAAAGATCTGTATGCAAAAGCTATAAAACATTGATGAAAAAACTCAAGAAATAAACAAATAAATCGAAAGATATTCCATGTTCACGGATCAGAAGGATTAATGTTGTTAAAATGTCCATTCTATCCAAAGTGATTCAATGCAACCATTATCAAAAATCCAATGACATTTTTTTTACAGAAATAGAAAAAACAGTCCTAAAATTCATGTGGAACCACAAAAGATCTCAAATAACCAAAGCCATCTAGAGGGAAAGGAACAAAGTTGGAAGAATCACATTACCTAAACACAAACTACATTACAAAGTTACAGTAATTAAAACAACACAGTACTTGCATAAAAACAGACACATAGACCAATGGAAGTGATTCATAGCCCAGGAAAAAAAATGCACGCATTTAGGGTCAAACAATTTTTGGGATGTATCAAGAACACACAATGGAGAAGGAACAGTCTCTTTAATAAATGGGATTGGGAGACATGCAGAAGAATGGAAGTGGACATTTGCCTCACAAAACATACAAAGTCAACTCAAGATAGATTAATGACTTAAATGTAAGATGAAAGACTATCATCCCAGCAATTTGGGAGGCCAAGGCGGGCAGATCACCTAAGGTCAGGATTCCAAGACCAGCATGGCCAACATGGTGAAATCCCGCCTCTACTAAAAATACAAAAACAGCTGGGTGTGGTTGTGGGTGCCTGTAATCTCAGCTACTCGGGAGGTTGAGACAGGAGAATCACTTGAACCCAGGAGGTAGAGGTTGCAGTGAGCCGAGATCGCACCACTGCACTCCAGCCGGGGCAACAGAGTGAGACTCCATCTTAAAAAAAAAAAAAAAACTACTAAAAGAAATCAAGGGAAAACTCCACTGGCTTGGGCAAAACCATTTTGGATATTAACCCAAAGGCCCAGGCAACAAAAGCAAAAGTAGACAAATAACATTATATCAAATTGAAAGTTTCTGCAAAGAAAAAAAAAAACTCAACAAGTGGAAAGACAACCTATGGAATGGGAGAATATATTTGCACCCATACATCTAATAAGGAATTAATATCCAAAATATATAAGAAACTCAAACAACTCAATGGTAAGAAATCAAATAACCCAACTTAAAAAAATGGGCAAAGTATCTGAATAAACATTTCTAAGAATAAGACAAATCACCAAAAGGTATATGAAAAAATGATTAGCATTACTAAACATCAGCTAAATAAAAATTAAAACTAGAATGAGATATCACCTCACACCTCTTAGAATGACCATTAACAGTCTGGGCATGGTGGCTCATGCCTGTAATTCAGGCACTTTGGGAGGCCGAGGCAGGGAGATTACCTGAGGTCAGCAGTTCGAAACCAGCCTGGCCAATATGGTGAAATCCCATCCCTACTAAAAATACAAAAATTAGCAGAGTTTGGTGGCGCACACTTGTAGTCCCAGCTACTCTGGAGACTGAGGCAGGGGAATCGCTTGAACCCAGGAGGCAGAGGTTGCAGTACACCGAGATTGTGCCACTGCACTCCAGCCTGGG
Source organism: Homo sapiens (assembly GCF_000001405.40). Lineage (NCBI taxonomy): Eukaryota > Metazoa > Chordata > Mammalia > Primates > Hominidae > Homo > Homo sapiens. The sequence goes on from NW_016107307.1 coordinate 102,443, forward strand.
TGACAGAGCAAGACTGAGTCTCAAAAAAAAAAAAAAAAAGACCATTATCAAAAACATAAAAAATAACAAGGGTTAACGAGGATGTGGAGAAAAGGGAACATTTGTATGCAGTTGATGGGAATGTAAATTAGCACAACCATTATGGAAAACAGTCTGGAAGTTCCTGAAAAAATTAAACATAGAATTCCCATATGTGTCTGCAATCCAACTACTGCGCATGTATCCAAAGGAAGTGGAATCAGTATGTTGAAGAGATATCTGCATTCCCATGTTTACAGCCGCATTATTCATAACAGCCAAGATGTGGAATCACCCTTACTGCCCATCTATGGGTGCATGGACAAAGAAAACGTGGTATACGATAGGAACGTAATGAAGTACTATACAACCTTTACAACAAAGAAGGAAGTCCTCTCATTTGTGACAATGTGAAAAAACTTAGAGGACATTATGTTAAGGGAAACAATCCAGGCACAGAAAGACAAATGCCACATGATCTCATGTGTGGAGTGTAAGAAGTGGAACCTAGAGGAACAGTAAAATGGTCGTCGAAAGAACCTGGGAAGGAGAGAGATTGAAGAGATGTTGGTCAAAGGATGCAAAATTTCAGTTAGAAGAAATCGGTTCAAGAGATCTATTGTATGTCTTGGTGACTCCATTTAATAGCAACATATGGTGTACTGAACATTACTAAGAGATTAGATTTTACATGTTCTCACCACACACACAAAACATACAAGTATGTGAAAAAATAAATAGATAAAGAGGTTGTTTCATCCATTCCACAATGTGTACCTATATGAAAACATCATGATGGACACCACAAATACCCTTTTCCTCATTAATTAAATTTGTTTTGGCTTTTTTTTTGAGACGCAGTTTCACTGTTGTTGCCCAAGCTGAGGTGCAATGGCGTGATCTCCGCTCACTGCAACCTCTGCCTCCCAGGTTCAAGCGGTTCTCCTGACTCAGCCTCCCAAGCAGCTGGGACTACAGTTGCGTACCACCCCGTCCGGCTATATTTGTGTTTCTAGTAGAGACAGGGTTTCGCCATGTTGGCCAGGCTGGTCTCGAACTCCAGACCTCAGGTGATCCACCCGCTTCGCCCTCCCAAAGTGCTAGATTTCAGGCTGAGACACCACACCCAGCCTGTACATTGACTTTCTGCCCTTAAACTGTGCTGAAGTTTGTTTCTCAGATGTAGGAGCCTTTGGGCAGAGACTATGGGGTTTCTAGGTATAGAAATTATCTCATCTTCAAACAGAGGTAATTTGACTACCTCTCTCTGCTACTCTCTTCTTACTTGGATGCCTTATAATTCTTTCTCTTTCCTGATGGCTCTGTCTAGGACTTCAAGTACTATGTTGAATAGGATGGTGAGAGTGGGCATTCTTGTCTTGTTTCACTTATGAAGGGAACTTCTTCCAGCTTTTACTCATTCAGTATGATGTTGGTTGTGGGTTTGTCATAGGCGGCTCTTATTATATTGAGTTATGTTTCTTCAATGCTTAGCTTGTTGAGGGCTTTTAACATGAAGAAATGCTTAGTAAAAAGTATGTTCTACATGTGTGTTGAGAAGATCATGTGGTTTTTGTTTTTAGTTTTGTTTAGGTGATGAATCACATGTATTGATTGTGTATGTTCAACCAACCTTGCACCCTAAGAATAAAGTTGACTTGATCATGGTGGATTCACTTTTTGATATGCTGCGGGATTCAGTTCTTAGTATTTTTTGTGGATTTTTGCATCTATGCTCATCAGGAATATTGGCATGTAGTTTTCTTTTGTTTAATATTCTTTTCTGTCTTTAGTATCAGGGTGATGCCAGCCTTATAGAATGAGTAAAGGCCACCCTGGGCAAACAGTGAGACCCATCCCTTTTTAAAAATTATGAGTTTTACAAATTTAAAATGCATAGTGAAAAAGTTCTTACAAACTCCAGAAAGGTAGGTGTAAATAAGAGACATTTGTAAGAATGACAGCACATTAAATGTGTAGATTTCAACCTTCAGTTATTGCAATATTCCAGTATCAAGTTGGAGGATGTTATCAGTCTGATATTTTTTCCTCAAATGAGAGAGAGAAAGAAAGACACACAAACAACACAGGGAGAAAAAAAGCACACGTTACAGAGAGACAAAAAGGGAGACAGGGAACTGTGAATTTGGACTCTTGTGTCATAAGACAAATTCTAGATAACACGACCAGACCTTCAATTGACATATTGTGTTTTTGCTAATAAGGTGGAATTCTATGATGCGAAATAACTATATAGTCTTTTCTACTGGGATTTAAATCATTTTATCTGTTTCTGGCTTAACAGGAAAAATACAACCATGGAAAATTATGATGATTTATTTAATACGATTGCTCTATAGTGTTAATAAAACCTATTAGGTATTTTGCATATTACATATCAAGGAGAGTTTGAATCTCAGGTAGAAACAAAAAAAAATACATCAAAAGTTCCTCATGTGAGTGCAGAATTCAATCGTCCCGTGCAGGGGTAAGTGAGTCTGAGATGTGTTTTGAGCCTGGCCGTTGCGCATGATGTGAAGTGACAAGTCTAGTCTGCAGTTTTCAGAAACCCTCATTCCTCCCTTGACTGATTCACCACTTGAACCTCATATGACGTAGAAGAAGCCTACCTATGTCCCCTTCACATGTTGTGGTCAATGTGTCAACTGCACGATCCGGGCCCCTCACCACATCCTCTGCACCGGTCAGTCGAGCCGAGTCACTGCGTCCTGGCAGCAGAAGCTGCACCATGTCCATGTCACCCACGGTCATCATCCTGGCATGTCTTGGTGAGTCCTGGAAGGGAAGGAGCACCAGGGTTACACTATGGGCCTGCAGATTGGGTGTCTCCCCAGCAGAGAGCCATGTTCTGAAGCAAGTGAGTGGTGAGGATGAGTTAATTTTCAGTCCAGCGTGGCGCCCAGTGGCTCAGGAGGAAAGGGTAGGTTGCTGCCGAGATGAATAGTTCATCATGATCTTTCTTTGCAGGGTTCTTCTTGGACCAGAGTGTGTGGGCACACGTGGGTGAGTCCTTCCCCAAATGATGGGTTGCCATCTTCACCCCAATACAAGTGAATTTTCCGGAAATGGGAGGGAGGCAGCACAGAGGGTGGGCTGATGGGCTGACCATGGGAAGGCCTGGGGGGAGTCTCTCATGAACTAGTAAGAGGAGATCCTGGGAGTCTCTCATGAACTAGTAAGAGGAGATCCTGGGAGTCTCTCATGAACTAGTAAGAGGAGATCCTGGGAGTCTCTCATGAACTAGTAAGAGGAGATCCTGGTATGCTCAGCCTTCTGTTTTGTCTTAGCCCTCCCCAGCCTTTCTTCCCCATGGCTGAGTTGAGCTCTGTGTGGCCCAGGCGGGATACTGAGGTGCTCAAAGCTGGGGTGTGTGGGGGGATGTGGTGTCACCGACAGAGGAGGGAAGGGTAGCAGTGTTAGGAACAGCAGGTCCTCTGAGGACAAGAGGGTAACTCACACCCTCCAGCGTTTCCATGACGGTAGGGGCTGCAGTGTGGCTGCTGTCATTCTGCCAGAAGAGGTGGGGGAACCACAGCCACGACCCTGCCATTCCAAATCCTCTGATGGAGCTCAGTTGTTTATTGTGGTTCAGGCATTAGCTAATATTCCATTCACAAAGGTCATACCCTCCACCCCATGTCTACTTTGTGTTGTTTGGTGTAACTAATCTTGCAGTATTAAAATCTAGTAAGAGTCCCTTACTCAGCACCTGCTCAGTTCTCAACTGACACTTTTGTTGTAGGGAGACGCCACGTCTATGCGGGATGGGTCCTTCCTGTAGCCCCAGGCACCCAGGTGTGGTAGGAGCCTTAGAAAGAAGAAATGGGGAGAATCTTCTGAGCACAGGGAGGGAGGGGCAGCTCAACATACTCCTCTCTGAGGCGGCATCTCCTTCTCCCCAAGGTGGTCAGGACAAGCCCTTCTGCTCTGCCTGGCCCAGCGCTGTGGTGCCTCAAGGAGGACACGTGACTCTTCGGTGTCACTGTCGTCGTGGGTTTAACATCTTCACGCTGTACAAGAAAGATGGGGTCCCTGTCCCTGAGCTCTACAACAGAATATTCTGGAACAGTTTCCTCATTAGCCCTGTGACCCCAGCACACGCAGGGACCTACAGATGTCGAGGTTTTCACCCGCACTCCCCCACTGAGTGGTCGGCACCCAGCAACCCCCTGGTGATCATGGTCACAGGTCAGAGGGCTCCTGTCTGGGCTTCTCCTTGTCCCACCTCCTGAGTCCCAGAGCTTCTGGTGGGGGTGTCCACCAGAGTCCGATCATCCAGGCCCCAACTATATTTGGGGTAAAGGGGGATTGAATACAGGGGAATGGGTGCTGTGTTGGAAAGAATAACTGTCCCCATCGATGGCCACATTGTAATCCTTGGAGCCTGTGACTATGTTATAGGGCAGGGGACTGAAGGGGAAGATGGAGCTCAGGTTGTTGATGAGTTGACCTTGAGATGGGGAGATGGCCTGGACCCTCCCACTGGGCTCAGTGTAATCACAAGGGTCCATATGAGTGGAGAAGGAAGAGGAGAATGGGGATTAGAGCAGCATCGTGGGATACTCCACCAGCCACTGTGGGCTTTGAAGGTGGAGGAAGACCACGAGCCACGAAGGGGCTGGAGAAATCAATGGAACTGATTCTCCCGAGTCTCCAGAGGGAATGCAGCCCTGCAGATGCCTTGATTGTAGCCCAGGAAGAACAGGGTCTGATTTCTGTCTCCAGAAGTGGAAGGGGTCAGTGTGTTCTCTCCTGCCGCCATGTTTGTGATAATTTTCTCCAGCAACAACAGGAAACCAACACAGGAACCCAGGTGAAGGACAAGTTAAAAAACCAAACAAGAAGGTTGGCTACCCTGAGATCAGCAAGGGTGCACTGCTGATGCCACCACCAGGCTGGAACCACATAGGGAGGGATCGACAGGAAGAGTTGGGGGTGGAGGGTGAGAGAGAGAGAGAGAGAGAGAGCACTAGGCCATAGAGCAGGGCAGTGAGTTCTCAGCTCAGGTGGGAGGGGAGCTGTGACAAGGAAGAACCTCCCTGAGGAAACTGCCTCTTCTCCTTCCAGGTCTATATGAGAAACCTTCGCTTACAGCCCGGCCGGGCCCCACGGTTCGCGCAGGAGAGAACGTGACCTTGTCCTGCAGCTCCCAGAGCTCCTTTGACATCTACCATCTATCCAGGGAGGGGGAAGCCCATGAACTTAGGCTCCCTGCAGTGCCCAGCATCAATGGAACATTCCAGGCCGACTTCCCTCTGGGTCCTGCCACCCACGGAGAGACCTACAGATGCTTCGGCTCTTTCCATGGATCTCCCTACGAGTGGTCAGACCCGAGTGACCCACTGCCTGTTTCTGTCACAGGTGAGGAAAGCCAATGTCTGTCCCATGTCCTATGGTCCTAGAGCCTTAGCTGAGGAGCTTCCTGCTGATGATGGAGAGAAGCATGGACAGATGTGGAGAGAAGATGCAGCATGGTGTGAGGGTGGGATCAGGGCACAGGATGGCAGACAGGGCACCTCCAAACCCTCCTGCATGGCCTGCATGGAAGCTTGCAGTAAGGGCTCCGGGTACCCAGGCAGATGGAGAAAGTGGTCAGGACAGACCCAGAGGAGGGAGACTGGGCTCAGTTTGGGGAGATCAGAGGTTCCCTCAGCCCCTCAACCTTACCCATTTCCCAGAAGCCCACCCTGGCCTCTCACCTACACAGAGATGTCATCACCAGCAACCCCTACACTTTTTCTTTTCCTTTGAAAAAATGCTGATTGAGGTTAAATATACCTATATAATTTATCAACTTTACCATTTTTAAGTGTAAAATCTAGGGATCATAAATACCTTTATATGCTGTGTGCAGTGGCTCACGCCTGTAATCTCAGCATTTTGAGACGCCAAGGCAGGTGGATCATTTAAAATCAGGGGCTGGAGACCAGCCTGGCCAACATGGGGGAACCAATCTTTACTAAAAAGACAAAAAAAATAAAATTAGCCAGGCATGGTGCCAGGCGCCTATAATCCCAGCAACTTGGGAGGCTGAGGCGGGAGAGTGGCTTAAACCCAGGAGGAGGAGGTTGCAGTGAGCTGAGATCATGCCACTGCACTGCAGCCTGGTGACACAGAGAGACTCTGTCTCTAAATAAATAAATAAATACTTTTATATTCTTCTTTTGTTACCCTCCACCCCTTCCTTCCTAACCTCTGGTATCCACCATTCTACTCTCTACCTTCATGAGGTCCACCTTTTACATCCTGCATGTGAGTAAGAAATGGCAATCCTTGTAATGACCTCCAGTCCATCCATGTGGCTGCAAATGACAGGACGTTTCTCTTTGTATGGATGAGTTGTCTCCATTGTGTGTATGTACTACATTCTCTCTATCCATTCATCCACTGATGGGCAGGTAGGTTGACTCCACATCTTGGCTACTGTGAACAGTGCTGGAACAGTCATGGGAGTGCAGATGTCACTTCAATACACTGAAGTCCTTTTCTTTGCATTTACACCCACTAGTGGAATTGCTAGATCCTCTGGATGTTCTCTTTTTAGGTTTTGTTTTATGCTTTTTGTTTTTTTGACATAGCGTTTCACTCTTGTTGCCCAAGCTGGAGTGCAATGGCACCACCTGGGCTCACTGCAACCTCTACCTCCAGGATTCAAGTGATTCTCCAGCCTCAGCCTCCCGAGTAGTTGGGATTACTGGTGCCCGCCACCACGCCTGGCTGATTTTTGTATTTTTAGTAGAGACGGGGTTTCACCATGTTAGCCAGGCTGGTCTCGAACTCTTGACCTCCAGTGATCTGCCCACTTCAGCCTCCCAAGGTGCTGGGATTACAAGCGTGAGCCACAGTGCCTAATCTCTTTTTAGTTTTTAAGGAACTTCCATATTCTTCTCCTCTGTAATGGCTGTATTAATTTACATTCCTATCAACAGTGTATCAGGGTTCTCCTTTCTCCACCACCTTGCCAACATTTGTTTTGTCTGTCTCTGAGATAAAACCCATTGTAATGGGGTGAGATGATAGCTCATTGTGACTTCATTTGCATTTCTCTGATGATTAGTGATACTGAGCACTTTTTCATATATGCAATGTATATATGTTCATTTGTATGTTTTGTTCATTGAGAAATGTCTGTTCAGGTCTTTTACTAATTTTATAATTAAATTATTAGTTTTATTGAGGTGTTTGAGCTTCTTTTATATTCTAGTTATTAATCCCATCTCAGATGCATAGTTTGCAAATATTTGCTCCCATTCTGTGGGTTGTCTCTTCTTCACTTCATTGGTTGCTTCCTTTGCGGTGCAGAAGCTGCTTGATTTGATATAATCCCAATGGTCTATTTTTTTGTTGTTGTTGTGATTACTTGTGTTTTTGAGGTTTTAAACAAAATGTCTTCCCTCAGACAAATGTCCTGGAGCATTTCTCCAGTGTTTCCTTTTAGACATTTAATGGATTCAGGTCTTAAGTCATTAATCCATTTTCATCTGATTTTTGTGTATGGTGAGAGGTAGAGGTGCAGTTTCATCCCTCTGCATGTAGATATCCAGTTTTCCCTGCACCATTTATTGAAATGACTGTCCTTTCCAGATTGTAGATTCTTCGAACCTTTGTCAAAGTCCATTGGATGTAAATGGGTGGATTACATCCGTGTTCTTCATTCTGCTCCATTGTTTTATGTGCTTTTCTTTATGCCAATGTCATGTTGTTTTGTTTACTACAGCTCTGTAACATATTTTTAAGTCAGGTAGTGTGATGCTCCTGTTTTCTCCTTATACCTTGAAGTCTCAAGATAGTTGGTGTCACCTACAATGATTATGGAGAATGGGATGCCAGGACTCCCAGGGCCCAACATTAGATAATAGAATGTTGGCCATGAACCAACCTCAAAGATTTCCATTGAGTAGAAGACAGGCATCCTCATTGCCACACCTCTCTCCTGTCCCATGTTCTAGGAAACCCTTCTAGTAGTTGGCCTTCACCCACTGAACCAAGCTTCAAAACTGGTAAGTGAAGGACCCCTCTTATCTCTGCTTTTGGAAACCTGGGGAGGTAGAAGCCTTGGATTCAAGCGTTGGCTCAGCACCTGCCAGCTCTGTGATTGTGGGCCTGTCTTCCATTGTCTCTGAACCCCAGACACTCCAACAGCGAAAGGGATCTGGGCCCAGCACAGGGCTCAGTGAAATCTCTTAATCTCTAATTTTCTGCTGCTGAGACCTCAGGGTAGAAGGATGAGTGCAAATCAGACATTCTTCTCAGGAAAAATGCTGTGTTTGTTCTGCCTGCATTCCTAACTGGGAGGACAAATGCCTGGGGGCTTGAGAAGGGGAAGGACGGGGAACATTTTTGAGGGTGGTGTATTTGTAGAGAAGTTCTACTTGCCAAGGAATGAGCTCCTGTCTGTCATGATCCAACCCTGGTTGACTTAGTGGAACAAGAGCTTTGCAGTAAGAGAGAACGTAGTTCATCCGTGCACATGACACTTCCACTTACTCGTTCAGCCACTGCCCCATGCTCAGACTGTGCAGTGTGGAACCTTTTCCTATGTTGCCATAACAAATTTCCACAAGCTTCGTGGATGGAAACCACATTTTTAAAAAATATCTCATGGTGCTGTAGCTCAGAAGTATGAAATGCATCATCTCACTGGGCTAAAATCAAGGTGACAGCAAGGCTGCCTTCCCTCTGAATGTTCCAGGCAAGAATCTGCTTCCTCACTTTTCCCAGCTCCTAGAGGCTCCCACATTCCTTGGCTCCTGGTCCCCGTCTTCCTCCCTCAAAGTCCACAAAGGCTGGTCACGCCTCTCACACGGCATCACTCAGACCCTTCTTCCTTGTCCACACCTCTTTCTCTGAATGCTGCTCTGCCTTCTTCCTCATCTTTTAAGGACTTTGGCATTCTATTGGAAACACCAAGATAATCCATCATAATTTCCCTAAAATCATCTAGGATACCCTCCTTTTAAGGTTAGCTGATTAGCAACCGTAATTCCATCTGCAATCTGCATTCCTTTTTTCCATGTAAAATAACATATTCACAAGATATGGCGACTAGGACAGGAACATTTTGGGGTGGGGCGGCATTCTTATCCTTTCCACAAATGGTAAACAAGGTGCATTTGGCCTCTGCTCTTGGACACTGATATTGCAAAGGATTAAATGGGAGGGCAGAAAATGAATGCACCAGTGGACCAATAAATGAATGATCCATTGGGAAGCATCTGTGCATGAGAATGATTGATTGATTGGTTGTTTTTATGAGACGGTGTCTCCCTCTGTGCCCCAGGCTGGAGTGCAGTGGCGGGATCTCGGCTCACCGCAACCTCCACCTCCCAGGTTAAAGCGATTCTCTACACTCAGCTTCCCGAGAGGCTGGGATTACACCCATGTCCCACCACGCCTGGCTAATTTTTTTTTGGTATTTTTTTTTAGTACAGACAAGGTTTTACCATGTTGCCCAGGCTATCTCAAACTCCCAACCTTAAGGGATCCGCCCGTCTCAGCCTCCCAAAGTGCTGAGATTAGAGGCGTGAGCCAAGGCGCCGAGCCGTATTTTAAAAGAAATAATAGATAATGCTGAGTGTATAATTTCGGGTGACAGAGAAGTTCTCACTGATCAAATAATACTTGTGACCTTAATGAAAAAAATAGATCAACCCCTGGAAGATTGGCGGAAGGATTTTCCACACAGCTGTCAGCCGTGAAGGCACAAAGGTGAAAACAATGTTATGTGGAAGGAAGAGGCTCTGCCTGAAATGCTGGGAATGACATGGGGAGAATGACAAGACGACTGTGGAGAGACAGAGAGCACTCTGGGTACACAGGAAACTAAGGAGGAACAAGGAGCGTGTGTTTGATACTCACAGCCATTGGACTTACCTCGGGGCTAACTGGGAATCCCTACATGATGAATAGTGACTGACATGAAAATAAGGGAGGCCCAGGTGCATAACTGGAATCTAGGAGACTGTGGAAAAGGCAATTCCCGCCCCCCTGGTGAAATGTGGTGCTGATTTAGACACTAAATGAATGAAAGATGGACACAAGATGTGTTTGTGAGGTAGAGTAATTTGCAGGGAGGGCTTGCCTGGTTTGATTTTTCCTAATTGTTTAATCTTCACTTCATTGATTTCTTTCTGAGATTTATTTTTCCTACATGTAAATCAATACTTGGCAGAGGAGTGAGAGATACATGAGGGGTGGTGCAAAGGAAGAGACCTATTATAATATAACACACAAGGTTCTGAACGGTGGCTCACACCTGTAACCCAACATTTTGGGAGGCTGAGGAGGCTGGATCAAGTGAGATCAGGAGTTCGAGATCAGCCTGGACAACATGGTGAAACCCCATCTCTACTAAATATACAAAAACTAGCTGGGGGTGGTGGCGCGTGCCTGTAATACCAGCTATTCGGGAAGTTGAAGAAGGAGAATGGCTTCAACCAGGGAGGGAGAGGTTACAGTGAGCCAAGATCGCGTCATTGCACTGCACCCTAGGTGACAGAGTGAGACTCCATGGCAAAAAATAAAAATAAAGAATACATAAATATAATATAACATACACGAATGACAAAGGCACACCAATTCCAATCATCATTTTTCTATTTCTCTATAATGACTTCTTTGATCCTTTATCCTATCCGTAAGAAAATCAGGCGAAAACATCTTCCTTATTTGGCTTTCTGTGAGCATGAGATCATATGGAAAATGTGAAACCCACCAGCACAGGTCCTGGAATAGAGAACGTGATCTGTTCATGGCACAAAACTTGCCCCTTCACCCAAATCCCCCACCTCACCCCTACTTCCAATCACATTAATGATACAGATAGATCATGGGGAGGTAAAAACTAATATTCTTTGGAGTTCAGATCGTAGACTCAGAGACCAGTGCCAGCACTATCTCCTGGTCACCTTTTGGAGTAATTCACAGAAAGACAGGCTGTATTGAAGCAACAGATGATGGAGGGGGTGGTCTTTCCCCCAGACTCTCGGGTGGAACAGCAGCCTAATATCTGACTCCCAAGATGACAAAAGTAGCATGTTGCCCACGAGCTTCATCATTATTTCCTGGCTGTTTGATATAAGACAGCTCAACCTCACTTATGTTGATTTCAATGTCACTGTTTTTTCCTTTTCTTGGAGAATGTAATTTGTTTGAGTCAAGAGGGTTGTGGATGTAGAAACTGTAAAGCACATTCACTGTGTATCAATCCCAGTCCAGTCTTCCCAGAGAAGACTCTAAACACCTCCCATACTGCACCTGGGGCTGTGCCAATTTCTATCACTCACCATCACTCCAGGGAGACAGAACACACAGGGAATACATTACATAGGCAGGTTCATTACTTATAGATAAGCAGCGAGTGACAACAGAAACCTTCCTTTCAGGGTGAGCCAGTCCCTCAAGGCTCAGAAAAACTGCTCAGGACACATGGAGTCACTTCATGTGCACTGTAGCTGGGGGAAGCCAGAAAGCAGCCCAGCCTGGGTTTTGTACCCTGGAGCCACAGGGAACACTCAGCTAAAGCACTGCATGATGTTCTCCTCCAGGAAGAACAGGAAGACAGCCCAGGCTGTTCTGAGACGTTCCTCCTGATCTCAGGATGTTGCTGTCTTAGCCTATTTTTGTTGCTATAAAAGAACACTTGAGCCTGGGTATCTTCTAAAGAAAAGAGATGTGTTTGGCTCACTGATCTGCACGCTGTACTAGAAGCAGGACACTACCATCTATTTCTGGCTGCGGCCTCAGGCTGCTCCCACACTGACAGAAGAGAAGGGGGTCCTGCGTGTGCAGAGACCACAGAGATCACATGGCAAGAGAGGGAGAAAGGGGGTGTGATGGAGCTTCCAAGCTCTTTTTAAGAATCAACTCTCCAGGGTACTAATAGAGGGAGAACTTGCTAACCCCGTCCTCTGGGGACAGCATTAATCTATTCATGATGGATCCACCCCCATGACCAAAACACCCCTCCCAATAGGCACAACCTCCCACACTGGGGATTAAATTTCAAAGTGGGGTTTGGAGGGGTCAAACATTGAAACAATAGCAGTTGTATCATCAGCACATTCTATTGTTATTATGAAAACTATAACGGAGAAAGCAGGAGAAAGCTGGGTCTCCCGCCTCGTGGGTGCTTGTCTTAAAGAGGTGTTTTATGTGGTTGCCTGGCAACCAAGAAATGAGAGACAATCCACAAAGAGGAACTGCTATGGTTAGCTTCTTATTGGATTCCCATCTTCCTCCAGGTATCGCCAGACACCTGCATGCTGTGATTAGGTACTCAGTGGCCATCATCCTCTTTACCATCCTTCCCTTCTTTCTCCTTCATCGCTGGTGCTCCAAAAAAAAAGTAAGCCTCACGAAGCAGAGGCCAGAGAACTCAGGGCCCTGTGCGGAAGCAGGATGGGAGCACGCAGGTGTGTGTTCCTCACTGGCAGGAAAGTCTCTGGCCCAAGGCAGGAGCCAGAGGCAGAGCTTTCTAGAGAGAGCACCAGACACCCTGCCCCTGCCTTCAGCTCACAGACCGTTGCCTGATTGTGAACTGTATCCTCACGTCCCCTGCAGCCACTCACATCCAGGAGAAGATTCCATGACAGGCAGAAAGTGGGAGATAGAATCAATGGGATGGGAACTGACAGCTATTCATGGAATGGGGTCTTGCACTCAGAGAGATGGAATGTCTGAGTCTGGCTGTTGGCAGCTGAGGGACCTCAGGCACCTATGGCCTCCCCCTGTGTGTTGGTATCTGTTCATGAAATGAGGACCCAGAAGTGCCCTCCCAGCTGTTTTGATTGCTTCCGTCTCCTACAGATGCTGCTGTAATGAACCAAGAGCCTGCGGGACACAGAACAGTGAACAGGGAGGTAGGTCCTCCTAGCCCAGCCTCATGGATACAGTCTTATTCCGAAATAGTCCTGAAAAATGTGAACACCCTCCCTCACTCAGGATTTCCCTCTCTCCAGGACTCTGATGAACAAGACCCTCAGGAGGTGACATACGCACAGTTGGATCACTGCATTTTCACACAGAGAAAAATCACTGGCCCTTCTCAGAGGAGCAAGAGACCCTCAACAGATACCAGCGTGTGTATAGAACTTCCAAATGCTGAGCCCAGAGCGTTGTCTCCTGCCCATGAGCACCACAGTCAGGCCTTGATGGGATCTTCTAGGGAGACAACAGCCCTGTCTCAAACCCAGCTTGCCAGCTCTAATGTACCAGCAGCTGGAATCTGAAGGCGTGAGTCTCCATCTTAGAGCATCACTCTTCCTCACACCACAAATCTGGTGCCTGTCTCTTGCTTACCAATGTCTAAGGTCCCCACTGCCTGCTGCAGAGAAAACACACTCCTTTGCTTAGCCCACAATTCTCTATTTCACTTGACCCCTGCCCACCTCTCCAACCTAACTGGCTTACTTCCTAGTCTACTTGAGGCTGCAATCACACTGAGGAACTCACAATTCCAAACATACAAGAGGCTCTCTCTTAACACGGCACTTAGACACGTGCTGTTCCACCTTCCCTCGTGCTGTTCCACCTTTCCTCAGACTATTTTTCAGCCTTCTGGCATCAGCAAACCTTATAAAATTTTTTTGATTTCAGTGTAGTTCTCTCCTCTTCAAATAAACATGTCTGCCTTCATTCTTTAGGTGACTCTTTTTTTGGCTGAAAGTTTCCAGTGTTATCATTACCATGTCCAAATAACTCCAACTGTTCTCCACTGGGTTCTCACCCCTGGACTCGGAGCTTCTGGAAGCAGGGTGGAGCCTGATTTGTCTCTGAGACTCCAATTTCCATCCAAAGATGCAGCACATAAGAGGTTCCAAGGATCGTGAATCACATGAACAAGTGATATTCTTACTCTCTGCAGACCTGGAAAGCTGGCAGAGTCATTCCATGATGAAACATTTGTAGAGTCATAGGCCTTGTTAGTCTCATCTCCACGGGGACACATATCAACACATCATCTTTCATACTATAAATATACAGTCGGTCCTCTGTATCTGTGGGATTTACAGGTGTTTATTGAACCAAATATAAATCAAAAATATTCAGAGAAAAAATCCACAAAGTTTCAAAAAGCAAAACTATGTTGAATGGACACAAATGAAGCTGTGTGTAGGCTGTATCAGGAATTATAAATAATCAAGGGATGATTTCATGTACACAGGAGGATGTGCATGGGTTATTTGCAAATGCTGTGCCATTTCATGTAAGAGGCTTGAGCGTCTGCAGATTGTGCTATCTGAGTGGAGATCCTGAAACCAATCACCCACGAATAGTGAGGGATGACTGTATATAATTTTTATTTCTCAATTTTAAATATAAAACATAAAAAAATTACAATAACAAGATAAAATAAACAAGTGTTTTATAGTGTGAGAATACGTTTAGATATATTTTTCTCTATGTGTAACCCTTGGGCCCATGTTATTTATTGAGAAGACATTCTATTCCACCTTAAACCACATGGCAGCCTTTGTCAACTATAAAGGGACTGTGTGTACACGGATGTATTTTAGACACTGTTTTCTGCTCAGTGGCTCTCTCTCTGTCCACTCTCTTGAGAATGCTGCATTTTATGCAGCCTTATACAACCCCTAAAATTTGGTAGCTGGAGTCCTCTAGTTATTTATTATAGGCTATTTGCTATGCTTTTTTTATTTTTCTTGAGGCAGAGTCTCGCTCTGTTGCCCAGGCTGGAGTGCAGTGGCACGATCTCGGCTCACTGCAACTTCCGCCTCCCAGGTTCAAGGGATTCCGTGCCTCAGCCTCTTGAATAGCTGGCATTACAAGTGCCTGCTACCAGGCATGGCTAATTTTTGTATTTTTAGCAGAGACATGGTTTCACTATATTGGCCAGGCTGGTCTCAAACTCCTGACCTCGGTTGATCACTCACCTCGGCTTCCAAAGTGCTGGGGAAATTGATTTTCTATAGCATTATGTTACTGGATATTTCTGTAAAATTTAAAATGAGGGAGGCAGAGAGACAGAGAGAGAGCAAACCATGAGTTGGAACTCTGGAATCTTGGGACATGAGACAAATTCTAGATAAATCTACAAAAATCCAGAATTTACATGTTGTGATTTTTGCTGATAAAGTACAATTCTAAGATTGTAAATAATTGCATAATCCTTCCCTGGGAGTTTAAATCATTTGAACTGGTTCTGCTGTAATACTAGAAATACAATCATGAAAAATTCTAATGGTTTATTGTCACAATTGCTCTGAAAACCTTAATAATACCTATTAGATATTTTGCATATTACACAGGAAGAAGAGTTTGAATCTCAGATAAAAACAATAAAAATACATGAAAAGTCTTTCATGTTAGCACAGATTTTAGGCATCTCATGTTCGGGAGGTTGGATCTGAGACGTGTTTTGAGTTGGTCATAGTGAAGGACGCGAGGTGTCAATTCTAGTGAGAGCAATTTCCAGGAAGCCATGTTCCGCTCTTGAGCGAGCACCCACTGGGCCTCATGCAAGGTAGAAAGAGCCTGCGTACGTCACCCTCCCATGATGTGGTCAACATGTAAACTGCATGGGCAGGGCGCCGAATAACATCCTGTGCGCTGCTGAGCTGAGCTGGGGCGCAGCCGCCTGTCTGCACCGGCAGCACCATGTCGCTCATGGTCGTCAGCATGGCGTGTGTTGGTGAGTCCTGGAAGGGAATCGAGGGAGGGAGTGAGGGGATGGAGATCTGGACCTGGAGGTAAAGATATGGGCCTAGAGGTGGAGTTATGGGCCTAGAGGTGGAGTTATGGGCCTGAAGTGGAGATCTGGGCCTGGAGTGGAGATCTGGGCCTGGAGTGGAGATAGGGGCCTGGGGTGGAGATATGTGCCTGGAGTGGAGATCTGGGCCTGGAGTGGAGATATGGGCCTGGGGTGGAGATATGTGCCTGGGGTGGAGAGATGGGCCTGGAGGGGAGATATGGGCCTGGAGGGGAGATGTGGGCCTAGAGGTGGAGTGATGGGCCTAGAAGTGGAGCGATGGGCCTGGAGTGGAGATATGGGCCTGGAGGTGGAGTTATGGGCCTGCAGTAGAGATATGGGCCTGAAGTGGAGATATGGGCCTGGAGTGGAGATATGGGCCTAGAGGTGGAGTTATGGGCCCGGAGGTGGAGTTAAGGGCATGAAGTGGAGATCTGGGCCTGGAGTGGAGATATGATCCTGGAGTGGAGATATGGGCCTGGGGTGGAGATACGGGCCTGGAGCAGACATACAAGCCTGGAAAGGAGATATGGGCCTGGAGAGGAGATAGAAGCCTGGAGTGGAAATATGGGCCTGGAGTGGACTTACCAGCCTGGAGAGGAGATATGGGCCTGGAGTTGAGATAGGAGCCTGGAGTGGAGATATGGGCCTGGAGTGGACTTACCAGCCTGGAGAGGAGATATGGGCCTGGAGTGGAGATACGGACCTGGAGTGGAGATCTGGGCCTGTTGTGTAGATCTAGGCCTGGAGGTAGAGATCTGGGCCTGGAGGCTCAGTCTCTGCACAGCCGAGATCCTTGTTCCTGGGGGCAGGTAGGCAGCGAGGGTGAGTTTACCTTCAGCCCAGCAAGGGCCTGGCTGCCAAGACGCACAGCCCAGTGGGGGCAGCAGGGTGCCCTGGTTTGCCTGCAGATGGATGGTCCATCATGATCTTTCTTTCTAGGGTTGTTCTTGGTCCAGAGGGCCGGTCCACACATGGGTGAGTCCTTCCCCAAACCTTAGGGTGTCATCTCCCCACATAAGAGGATTTTCCTGAAATGGGAGGGAAGTCCTGTCGGGGAGTCTCTCATACACTAGGAAGAGGGGACCCTCGGATGCTCGGCCCACATTTCTGACCTTGCCTTCCCCGGCCTTTCATTCCCTTTCCTGAGTCAAGCTCTGTGAAGACTGGGGTGAGACTAGGGTGCTCCAAGATGGGTGTGCAGGGAGGAAGTGGTGTCAGCAGCAGAGAAAGAGAGGGAAGCAGTGCTAGGAACAGCAGGTCCTCTGAGGACAAAGGTGTAACTCACACCCTCCAGCGTTTCCGTGATGGTAGGGGCTGCAGTGTGGCTGCGGTCTTTCTACCAGAAAAGGTGAGGAAACCACAGCCATGGCCCTGACATTCCAAATCCTCTGATGGGGGCTCAGTTCATCAATTGGCTGATATTCCATTCACATAGGACTTGCCCTCCATGCCGTGTCTACTTTGTGTTGTTTTATATGAGTAATTTTGCAGTATTAAAATCTAGTAAGAGTTGCTTCTCCAGCAACTTGCTCAAAGTTCTCAGCTGACACTTGTTGTAGGGAGACGCCAAGTCTATGCAGGATGGGTCCTTCCTGTAGCCCTGGGCACCCAGGTGTGGTAGGAGCCTTAGAAAGTGGAAATGGGGAGAATCTTCTGGGCACTGGGAGTGAGGGGCGGCTCCACATCCTCCTCTCTAAGGCAGTGCCTCCTTCTCCCCCAGGTGGTCAGGACAAACCCTTCCTGTCTGCCTGGCCCAGCGCTGTGGTGCCTCGAGGAGGACACGTGACTCTTCGGTGTCACTATCGTCATAGGTTTAACAATTTCATGCTATACAAAGAAGACAGAATCCACATTCCCATCTTCCATGGCAGAATATTCCAGGAGAGCTTCAACATGAGCCCTGTGACCACAGCACATGCAGGGAACTACACATGTCGGGGTTCACACCCACACTCCCCCACTGGGTGGTCGGCACCCAGCAACCCCGTGGTGATCATGGTCACAGGTCAGAGGCTTTCCGTCTGGGCTTCTCACTGTCCCACCTCCTGAATCCCAGAGCTTCTGGTGGGGGTGTCCGTCAGGGTCCCATCACCCAGGCCCTGACTGTATTTGGGGTCAAGGGAGATTGAATACAGGGGAAATGGGTGCTGTGGTGGGAAGAATCACTGTCCCCAATGATGGCTACATTGTAATCCCTGGAGCCTGTGACTATTTATGTTACAGGGCAGGGGACTGAAGGGGAAGGTGGAGCTCAGGTTGTTGATGAGTTGACCTTCAGATGGGGAGACAGCCTGGACTGTCCCACTGGGCTCAGTGTAATCACAAGGGTCCACATGAGAGGTGGAGGAAGAGGGGAGTGGGGATTAGAGCAGTGTAGTGGGAGGGAGACGCTATCAGCCACTGCGGGCTTTGAAGGTGGAGAAAGACCACTAGTCACAGAATGCAGGTGGCCTCTAAGGGCTGGAGAAGTCAAGAGAACTGATTCGCTGATTCTCCAGAGGGAACGCAGCCCTGTAGACACCTTGATTTCAGCACAGGGAGAACTGGATCCAATTTCTGTCTCCAGAAGTGGAAGGGGTCAGTGTGTTCTCTCCCGCTGCCATGTTTGTGGTAATTTTCTGCAGCAGCAACAGGAAACCAACACAGGAACCCAGGTCAAGGACAAGTTAGGAAACCAAACAAGGATAGCCAGATGTGGTGGTGGGCGCGAGTAATCCAACGACTGGGGAGGCTGAGGCAAGAGAATCACTTGAACTGGGGATTTGTTCAAAAGAGATTGATTCAGGCTGCTAAGAGCCTGGACATGCAGCCTGTCCTCTTCCACCCCCACATAGACAGCAGGAAAGAGATTAGTGGGAAACAGATACAACAGCCCAAGAGATGAGGCTGTCTTCACAGTGGCAAGGGAGTCAGGGGCTACTGGAGACAGAGGGACAGAGAAGAGGGAGGAAGACAGATGGAGGCACCTGCACCAGGGGATATGGGCACAGAAAAGACACGGAGATGCAGAGAGGGAGGAGAGAGACAGACACGGGGAGGGGAACCCTCACTCATTCCAGGTGCCATGGATGGGATGATAAAGAGAGATGCCTTCTAAACTCACAACTTCTCTTTCTAGGAAACCACAGAAAACCTTCCCTCCTGGCCCACCCAGGTCCCCTGGTGAAATCAGGAGAGAGAGTCATCCTGCAATGTTGGTCAGATATCATGTTTGAGCACTTCTTTCTGCACAAAGAGGGGATCTCTAAGGACCCCTCACGCCTCGTTGGACAGATCCATGATGGGGTCTCCAAGGCCAATTTCTCCATCGGTCCCATGATGCTTGCCCTTGCAGGGACCTACAGATGCTACGGTTCTGTTACTCACACCTCCTATCAGTTGTCAGCTCCCAGTGATCCCCTGGACATCGTGGTCACAGGTGAGAGTGTCTAGACATTGTTCTCATTGTCACTGGGACACAGAGTGAATGATCCAGGACTTGGAACCCCCAGGTGGTCATGAGGAAGATAAGTGTGGGATTCTTACGGAAAGAGAGTGACTTGGTGAGGTCTGTACCAACAGAGACAGAGAAACAGGAGACATAAGTACAGAACAGTTGTCATAACAGAGGACAGACACAGGGGCCATACAGGGAGGTAGAAAAGAGAGAAAGAGGTAAAGGAGACACTCAGACAGACAGACATGTCCCAGAGAGAGGTGTCCTTCCATGCTGACTTTGCTCAGAGACCTGGCACAGGTTAGAAGTTTCATTTCTGTTTTACCTCCACAAAGTGTTCCTACCAGAAGAACCCAAGGACACCCATATTTCTGACCTGAGTTGGGCCCTGTGGCCTCAGGCCTTGTGCCACCTACAGATGCCGTGTTTATTCTGACACCTCTGCCTTCCATGCAATGGAGAGTAATCATCCCAGGATATCATGGCCCCTGAACACCAACCCCTGTATGCTGTGTGAACTTGGGGTCCCCAGACTGGATTCTGAGGCTCATATTCCAAATAATCCCACATATGATAGGATCGCTGAGAGACACAGAGAAAAATCAGGGACACCAAAAAGCAAAGACATAAACACACACAAAATGAGCCAGAAGAAGGAGATTAAGAGATTCACAGACACATAAAAAGAAAGAAAAGAGGGCAGAGTGGAGAGAATGATGGAAAGGAGGAGAGAAAAGCCCCAAAATCAGAACCCTGAGGGAGGGACACAAAGACAGAGAAAGATAAATATGTGGGGATGGATTGCAGAGATTCCAAATAGAACTAGAGAGACTGAGAGGCAGAGAAAGACAAGGAGACGGAGAGAGAGAGATGATAGATGGATAGATAGACGTAGATAGATGATAAATAGGTAGATGATAGATAATGGATTGGTTATAGATACATAGATGATGACTGATAGATGATACATAGAGATGACGATGATGATGATAGACACATAGATATATACATAGATGATACATAAATAGAGACAGAGAGGCAGACAGAGAGGTAATAGAGAGAGAGATAGATGATACATATATAGATAATAGATGATTGATGGATAGATAGACAGACAGACAATTGATAGAGAGATAGATAAGTGATACATAAATATAGATGATAGATAATTTGTAGATAGACACAAAATAGATTAATAGATAGAAATGTGCAGAAAGTTATGAACAAGACAGAAAGTGAGAGACTCAAAATTAAAGAAAAAGGAAGATCAAGTCAACCAATCCAAGGAGGGTCAGAGAGAATAAAACAATCCAAAAAGGGAAAACATACCTCAGGGTGGGGAATTGAGGTCATAGACCTAGAGAGACAGAAAAGGTAGAAGGAGGAAACAGATATGAAGAGAGATGGGGTGGAGGGTGAGAGAGAGAGA
Organism: Homo sapiens; assembly: GCF_000001405.40. NCBI lineage: Eukaryota > Metazoa > Chordata > Mammalia > Primates > Hominidae > Homo > Homo sapiens. Next base: position 123,059 of record NW_016107307.1, read on the forward strand.
GAGAGCATTAGGTCATAGAGCAGGGGAGTGAGTTCTCAGCTCAGGTATGAGGGGAGCTATGACAAGGAAGAACCTCCCTGAGGAAACTGCCTCTTCTCCTTCCAGGTCCATATGAGAAACCTTCTCTCTCAGCCCAGCCGGGCCCCAAGGTTCAGGCAGGAGAGAGCGTGACCTTGTCCTGTAGCTCCCGGAGCTCCTATGACATGTACCATCTATCCAGGGAGGGGGGAGCCCATGAACGTAGGCTCCCTGCAGTGCGCAAGGTCAACAGAACATTCCAGGCAGATTTCCCTCTGGGCCCTGCCACCCACGGAGGGACCTACAGATGCTTTGGCTCTTTCCGTCACTCTCCCTACGAGTTGTCAGACCCGAGTGACCCACTGCTTGTTTCTGTCACAGGTGAGAAAAGCCCATATCTCTCTCATGTCCTATGATCCTAAATCCTTAGCTAAGGAGCTTCCTGCTGATGATGGAGAAAAGCATGGACAGATGCAGAGAGAAGACACAGCAGGTGTGAGGGCGGAGTCAGGGCGCAGGATGGCAGACAGGGCACCTCCAAACCCTCCTTCATGGCCTGCATGGAGGCCTCCGATCAGGGCTCCAGGCACCCAGGCAGATGGAGAAAGCGGTCAGGACAGACCCAGAGAAGGGGAGACTGGGCTTAGTTTCGGGAGATCAGAGGTTCCCTCAGCCCCTCAATCTTATCCATTTCCCAGAAGCCCATCATGGCCTCTCACCCACACAGAGAGATGTCATCACCAGCAACCCCTACACCCTTTTCTTTTCATTTTCAAAAATATTTATTGAGGTTAAATGTAACTATATAATTTACCACCTTTACCATTTTTAAAAGTAAAATCTAGTGGTCATAAATACCTTTATATGCTGGGTGTGGTGGTTCACGGTTGTAATCTCGGCGCTTTGAGAGGCCAAGGAAGGTGGATCATTTAAGATCAGGAACTCGAGATCACCCTGGCCAACATGTGGGAAATTCATCTTTACTAAACAGACAAGAAAAATTAGCCGAGCATGCCGGCATGCACCTGTAGTCCTAGCTACTTGGGAGGCTGAGGCAGGAGAAGCACTTAAAGCCAGGAGGCAGAGGTTGCACTGAGCCGAGATCATGCCACTGCACTGCAGCCTGGGAGACAGAGAGAGACTCTGTTTCTAAATAAATAAATACATCTATATTCTTTTTTTTGTTACCCTCCACCCTTCCCTTCCTGGCCTCTGGTGTCCACCATTGTATTCTCCACCTTCATGAGATCCACCTTTTATCTCCTGCATGTGGTGAGAAATGGGAATCTTTGTAATGACCTCCAGTTCCATCCATGTGGCTGCAAATGACAGGATGTTATTGTTTCTATGGATGAGTAGTCTCCACCGTGTGTGTGTACTACAGTTCTCTATCCATTCACCCACTGATAGGCAGGTAGGTTGACTCCACATCTTGGCTACTGTGAACAGTGCTGGAACAGTCATATGAGTGCAGATATCACTTCGATACACTGATGTCCTTTCCTTTGGATATAAACCCAGTAGTGAAATTGCTGGACACTATGAAAGTTCTCTTTTTTTTTTTTCCTTTTTTGAGAAAGAGTTTCCCTCCTTAGTCCAAGCTGGAGTCTAAGTGGTGAGATCTTGGCTCATTGCAACCTGTGCCTCCTAGGTTCAAATGATTGTCCTGACTCAGCCTCCCTAGTAGCTGTGATTACAGGTGCACGCCACCATGCCTGGCTAATTTTTGTACTTTTTTAGCACAGACGGGATATCCCAATTTTGGGCAGGCTGCTCTCAAACTCCTGACCTCAAGTGAGGTGCCTGCCTCGGTTTCCCAAAGTGCTGAAGTTACAGGCATAAGCCACTATGCCCAGCCTCCTTTTAGTTTTTTAAAGAATTTCCATACTTTTCTCCATAATAGTTGTACTAATTTACATTCCTACCAACAGGGTACCAGGGTTCTCCTTTCTCTACCATCTTGCCAGCATTTGTTTTGCCTGTCTTGCAGTAAAAGCCATTTTACTTTACTTTATTTTATTTATTTATTTATGTTGAGATGGAGTTTCACTCATAGTCGCCCAGGCTGGAGTGCAAGGGTGTGATCTCAGCTCACTGCAACCTCCGCCTCCCGCGTTCAACTGATTCTCCTGCCTCAGCCTCCAAAGTAGCTGGGATTACAGGCATGTGCCACCACGCCTAGCTAATTTTTGTATGTTTAGTAGAGAGGGAGTTTCTCCATGTTGGTCAGGCTGGTCTCCCGACCTCAGGTGATCCGCCCACCTCCGCCTCCTGAAGTGCCGGAATTACAGGCGTGAGCCACCGGCCTAAAAGGCATTTTAATGGGATGAGATGAAAACTCATCGCGATTGTAATTTACATTTCTCTGATGATGAGTGATGCCGAGTACTTTTTCATATACGTGATCGCCATTTCTATGTTTTGTTTGTGGAGAAATGTCTCCTCATGTCTTTTGCTCTTTTTTTGAATTAAATTGTTTTATTGAGTTGTTTGAGCTTCTTATATTTCCAGTTATTAATCCCGTCTCAGATGAATAGTTTGCAAATATTTGCTCCTATTTTGTCGGTTGTCTCTTCACTTTCTTGGTTTATCTTTTGTGGTGCAGAAGTTGCTTGGTTTGATGTAATCCTAATGGTCTATTTTTTGCTTTGATTACTTGTGTTTTGAAGGTTTTAAACAAAATGTCTTTCGTCAGACAAATGTCTTCCCCATTATTTTCTTCTACATGTTTCATAGGTTCAGGCCTTAGACTCATGTTTTTAATCCATTTTCATTTGATTTTTGTGTAAGGTGACAGGTATAGATGCAGTTTTATTCCTCTGCATGTAGATATCCAGTTTTCCCCACACCATTTATTGAAAAGACTGTCCTTTCCTGATTGTAAGTTCTCGGCACCTTTGTCAAAGTCCATTAAATGGGCTGGGTATGGTGGCTCACACCTGCAATTCCAGCACTTTGGGAGGCCGAGGCGGATGGATCACCTGAAGCCAGGAGTTCAAGACCAGGCTGGCCAACAGAGTGAAACCTCGTCTCTACTAAAAATACAAAAATTAGCTGAGCATGGTGACCAGTGCCTGTAATACCACTACTCGGGTGTTTGAGGCAAGAGAATTGCTTGAATCCAGGAAGTGGAGGTTGCATTGAGCTGAGATTGCACCTCTGCACTCCAGCCTGCATGACAGAGCAAGATTCTATCACACACACACACAAAAAAAGCCATTGGATGTAAATGCATGGATTATATCTGTGTTCTCCATTCTGTTCCATTTTTTATGTGCCTTTCTTTATGCCAATGTCATGCTGTTTTGCTTACTACAGCTCTGTAACATATTTCTAAGTCAGGTAGTGTGATGCTCCTGTTTTCTCTTTATACCTTCAAGTCTCAAGACAGTGGGCATCGCACACAAAAATTATGGAGAAGAGGATCCCAAGACTCCCAGGGTCCAACATTAGATAACAGAGTGTTGGCCATGAACCAACCTCAAAGATTTCCATTGAGTAGAGGACAAGCACCCTCATTTCCTCACATCTCTCCTGTCCCGTGTTCTAGGAAACCCTTCAAGTAGTTGGCCTTCACCCACAGAACCAAGCTCCAAATCTGGTGAGTAAAGGACCCCTCTTATCTCTGCTTTTGGAAACCTGGGGAGGTGGAAGCCTTGGATGCAAGTGTTGGCTCAAACCTCCCAGCTCTGTGAATGAGGGCCTGTCTTCCACCATCTCTGAACTCCAGACACTCCAACAGTGAAAGGGATCTAGGGCCACCAAAGGGCTCAGCGAAGTCTCTTAACCTTTAATGTCCTGCAGGTGAGACCTCCTACAAGCTAGAAGAATGATTGCCAATCTGACATCCTTCTCAGGAAACATGCAGTGTTTTTTCTTCCTGCATTCCTAACTGGAGGATAAATTCCTGGGGACTTGAGAGAGGGAAGGGAAGGGAACATCTGATGAGGGCGAGGTGTTTTAGAGAAGTTCCACTTGCCAAGGAATGAATTACTGTTGGTCATGAAGCAACCCTGGCTGACTCAGCAGAGCAAGAGCCTTGCCGTAATAGAGAACAGAGCTCATGCACGCACACTTCGACTCACTGACTCATTCAGCCACAGCCCCATGCTCAGGCTGTGCAGTTGGAATCCTTTCCTATTGTTGCCATAACAAATTTCCACAAGATTCGTGGGTGAAAACAAAGCGGCTTTTTAATTATCTTACAGTGCTGTAGCTCAAAGTATGAAGTGCATCTCACTGGGCTAAAAACAAGGTGACAGCAAGGCTGCCTTCCCTTGCCTGAGGATTCCAGGCAAGAATCTGCTTCTCACTTGTCCCATCTTATAAAGGCTCCCAGTTCCTTGGCTCCTGGTCCCCTTCCTCCTTCCTCAAAGCCCACAAAGGCTGGTCACATCTCACATGGCATCACTCAGACCCTTCTTCCTTACCACACCTCTTTCTCTGAATGCTGCTCTCCCTTCTTCCTTATCTTTTGAAAACTTGGGGATTCTATTGGGTTCACCAAGATGAAAATCCATCATAATCTCCCGGAAATCATTCAGGATACCCTTGTTTTAAGTTCAGCTGACTAGCAACCGTAATTCCATCTGCAATCTTCATTCCTTCTTTCCATGTAAAATAACATATTCACAAGCTATGGAGGCCAGGACAGGGACATTTTGGGGTGGGACAGCATTCTCCTGCCTTCCACGAACGGTGAACAAGATGCATTTGGCCTCTGCTCTTGGGACACTGATATTGCAGATGGTTAAATGGGAGGGCAGAAAATGAATGCACAAGTGGACCAATAAATGAATGATCCATTGGGAAGCATCTGTGTATGAAATCTATTTGTTTGTTCGTTCATTTATTTATTGAGACAGAGTCTCCCTCTGTCTTCCAGGCTACAGTGCAGTGTCACGATCTTGGCTCACTGCAACCTGCGTCTCCTGGATCCAAGTGATTCTCCTGCCTCCGCCTCTCGAGTAGCTGGGATTACAGGCAACTGCCACCATGCCCGGCTAATTCTTTTTGTATATTTTTTGTAGAGAGGATGTTTCACCATATTGGCCAAGCTTGTCTGAAACTCCCAACCTCAAGTGATCCGACCATCTCAGCAACCCAAAGTACTGGGATTACAGGCGTGAGCCACTTTGCCCAGCCAGAATTCAAAATAAATAATAGATAATGCTGAGTGTATAATTTTGGGTGACAGAGAAGGTCTCACTAATCAGATATTTGTGACATTAATGAAAAACACGGATTGAACCCCTGAAAGATTGGCGGAAGGATTTTCCACACAGCTGTCAGCTGTGAAGGCACAAAGGTGAAAACAATCTGATGTTGAAGGAAGAGGCTCTGACTCAAATGCTGGGAATGAAGTGGGGAGAATGACAAGACGACTGTGGAGAGACGGAGAGCACACTGGGTACACAGGAAACTAAGGAGCAACAAGGAGTGTGTGTTTGACACTCACAGCCCTTGGATTCACCTCGGGGTAACCAGGAATCCCTACATGATTAATAGTGACTGACATGAAAATAAGGGAGGCCCAGGTGCGTAACTGGAATCTAGGAGACCGTGGAAAAGGCAATTCCCGCCCCACTGGTGAAATGTGGTGCTGATTTAGACCCTAAGTGGATGAAGCAGATGGATATAAGCTATGCTTGGGAGGTAGAATCATTTGCAGGGAGGGCTTGCTGGGTTTGAGTTTCCTAGTTGTTTAATCCTTGCTAAATTAATTTCTTTCTGAGATTTATTCCTCCTACACATAAATCAATACCTGGCAAAGGAGTGACAGATATATGAGGGGTGGTGGAAATGAAGGGACCTATTATAGCATAGTATACAAGTCTGTGAACGGTGGCTCACTCCTGTAACCCAGCACTGCAGGAGGCTAAGGCCAGTGGATTCCAAGAAGTCAGGAGTTCGAGACCAGCCTGGCCAACATGGTGAAACCCTATCTCTACATGGTGAAACCCTATCTCTCCTAAAAATACAAAAATTAGCCGAGCATGGTGGTGCATCCCTGTAATCCCAGCTCCTGCTCTGGAGGATGAAGCAGGAGAATGACTTCAACCCAGGAGATGGAGGTTGCAGTGAGTGGAGATCGCATCACTGCACTCCAGCCTGGGTGACACAAGGAGACTCCATCTCAAAAAATAAAAATAAGAAATGCATAAATATAATAAAACACACACGAATGACAAAGGCACCTGAATTCCCATCATCATTTTTCTATTTCTCTATAATTACTTCTTTGATCCTTTATCTTATCCATTAGGCAATCAGCCTAAAACCTCTTCCGTATTTGGCTTTCTGTGAGCATGAGATCATATAGAAAATGTGAAAGCCCGCTGAATCCTCCAGCACAAATCCTGGAATAGAGAAAGTGCTCTCGTCATCACAAAAAAAACTTGCCCCCTCACCCAAATCCCCCATCTCACCCCTACTTCCAATCACCTGTGGAGATACAGATAGATCATGGGGAGGTAAATGCTAATACTCCTTGGAGTGAGTCCAGATCTTGGAATCAGAGATCAGCGACAGCACTAGCTCCTGCTCCCCTTTCCTACTAATTCACAGGAGGACAGGTGGTATTGAAGCAATAGATAGTCGAGGGGGTGGTCCTTCCCCCAGCCTCTCAGGTAGAACAGCAGCCTAACATGTGTCTCCCGAGATCACAAAGAGTAGCACATTTCACACGGGCTTCAACACTATTTTCTGGCTGTTTGACATAAGAGAATTCTACTTCGCTTTTTTTATATTGATTTCACTTTTGTTTCCTTTTCTTGGAGAATGCAAGTTGTTTAACTCAAGAATGCCGTGGATGTAGAAATCCTAAAGCACATTCGCTGTGTATCAATCCCAGTCCAGTCTTCCCAGAGAAGACTCTAAACACCTCCTGGACTGCACCTGGGCCTATGCCAATTCCTATCACTCACCGTCACTCCAGGGAGACAGAACACACAGAGAATACGTTACATAGGCAGGTTCATTACTAACAGATAAGCAGCGAGTGACAACAGAAGCCTACATTTCAATGTGAGCCAGTTCCCCAAGGCTCAGAAAAGCTGCTCGAGACATGTGGAGTCACCCCATTTGCAGTGTAGCTGGGGGAAGCCAGAAAGCAGCCCAGCCTGGGTTTTGTACCCTGGAGCCACAGGAAGCACTCAGCTAAAGCACTGCATGACGTCCTCCTCCAGGAAGAACAGGAAGACAGCCCAGGCTGTTCTGGGACGATCCTCCTGATCTCAGGACTTTGCTGTCTTAGTCCATTTTTGTTGCTCTAAAGGAACACTTGAGCCTGGGTAACTTCTAAAGAAGAGATTGGTTTGCCTCACCATTCTGCAGGCTGTACTGGAAGCATGGCACCAGCATCTATTTCTTATGATGGCCTCAGGCCGCTCCCACTCTGGCAGAAGGGAAGGAGGGTCTGTCTGTGCAGAGACCACAGAGATCACACGGCAAGAGAGGGAGCAAGGGGGAGGGGGAGCAATGGAGCTTCCAAGCTCTTTTTAACAACCAGCTCTCCAGGAACTAATAGAGAGGGAACTTGCTAACCCCGTCTCCTTGGGACAGCATTGATCTGTTCATGATGGATCCACCTCCATGACCCAAACACCTCCCAAGAGGCCCAACCTCCCACACTGGGGGTTAAATTTCAATGTGAGGTTTGAAGGGGTCAAACATCTCAACTAAAGTAGTTGTATCCTCAGCACGTTCCATGGTTACTATGAGAGCTATAACTGAGAAAGCAGGAGGAAGCTAGGTCTCCCGCCATCTGGGTGCTTGTCCGAAAGAGATGCTGTAAGTGGTTACCTGTCAATCAAGAAATGCAAGACAATTCATATAGAGAAACTGCTATGATTAGCTTCTTACTGGTGTCTCCTCTTCTTCCAGGTAACCCCAGACACCTGCACATTCTGATTGGGACCTCAGTGGTCATCATCCTCTTCATCCTCCTCCTCTTCTTTCTCCTTCATCTCTGGTGCTCCAACAAAAAAAGTAAGTCTCACGCGGCACAGGCCAGAGAGCTCAGGGCCATGTGGGGAAGCAGGATGGGAGCACACAGCTGTGTGTTCCTCACTGGCAGGATGGTCCCTGGCCCAAGACAGGAGCCACAGAGGCAGGACTTTCTAGAGAGAGCACCAGACTCCCTGCCCCTGCCTTCAGCTCACAGACCGTTGCCTGATTCTGAACTGTATCCTCATGTCCCCTGCAGCCACTCACATCCAGGAGAAGGTTCCATGACAGGCAGAAAGTGGGAGACAGAATCAATGGGATGGGAACTCAGAGCTATTCATGGGATGGGTCCTTGAGCTCAGAGAGATAGAATGTCTGAGTCTGCTGTTGGCAACTGAGGGACCTCAGGCACCTATGGCCTCCCCCTGTTTGTTGGTATCTGCTTATGAAATGAGGACCCAGAAGTGCCCTCCGAGCTCTTTTGTTGACTTCCGTCTCCTACAGATGCTGCTGTAATGGACCAAGAGCCTGCAGGGAACAGAACAGCCAACAGCGAGGTAGGTGCTCCTCGGCCCAGCCTCATGGCTAGTGTTATTCCCAAACAGTCCTGGAAAACGTGAGCACCCTCCCTCACTCAGCATTTCCCTCCCTCACTCAGCATTTCCCTCTCTCCAGGACTCTGATGAACAAGACCCTGAGGAGGTGACATACGCACAGTTGGATCACTGCGTTTTCACACAGAGAAAAATCACTCGCCCTTCTCAGAGGCCCAAGACACCCCCTACAGATACCATCTTGTACACGGAACTTCCAAATGCTAAGCCCAGATCCAAAGTTGTCTCCTGCCCATGAGCACCACAGTCAGGCCTTGAGGGCGTCTTCTAGGGAGACAACAGCCCTGTCTCAAAACCGAGTTGCCAGCTCCCATGTACCAGCAGCTGGAATCTGAAGGCGTGAGTCTTCATCTTAGGGCATCGCTCCTCCTCACGCCACAAATCTGGTGCCTCTCTCTTGCTTACAAATGTCTAGGTCCCCACTGCCTGCTGGAAAGAAAACACACTCCTTTGCTTAGCCCACAGTTCTCCATTTCACTTGACCCCTGCCCACCTCTCCAACCTAACTGGCTTACTTCCTAGTCTACTTGAGGCTGCGATCACACTGAGGAACTCACAATTCCAAACATACAAGAGGCTCCCTCTTGACGTGGCACTTACCCACGTGCTGTTCCACCTTCCCTCATGCTGTTTCACCTTTCTTCGGACTATTTTCCAGCCTTCTGTCAGCAGTGAAACTTATAAAATTTTTTGTGATTTCAATGTAGCTGTCTCCTCTTCAAATAAACATGTCTGCCCTCATTGCTTCAGGTAATGTGACACTGTATTCGCTGAAAGAAACCGCTGTTATCATTACCATGTCCACATAACCCCATCTGTTCTCCGCTGGGTTCTCACCCCTGGACTCTGAGCTTCTGGAAGCAGGGTGGAGCCTCATTTGTCTCTGGGACTCCAATTTCCATCCAAAGATGCAGCACATAGGAGGTTCCAAGGATCGTGAATCACATGAACAAGTGATATTCTTACTCTCTGCAACCTGGAAAGCTGGCAGAGTCATTCCACGATGAAACATTTGTAGAGTCATAAGCCTTGCTAGTCTCATCTCCACGGGGACACATATCAACACATCATATTTCATACTATAAATATACAGTCGCTCCTCCATATCTGTGGGGTTTACAGGTGTTTATTGAACCAAGTGTAAATCAAAAATATTCAGAGAAAATGTCCACAAAGTTTCAAAATGCAAAACTATGTTGAATGGACACAAATGAGGCAGTGTGTAGGCTGTATCAGGAATTATAAGTAATCAAGAGATGATTTCATGTATACAGGAGGATGTGCATGGGTTATATCCAAATGCTGTGTCATTTTATGTAAGAGGCTTGAGCATCTGCAGATTTTGGTACCTGAGTGGAGATCCTGAAACCAATCACCCACGAATAGTAAAGGATGACCGTATATGACTTTTATTTCTCAATTTTAAATATAAATCATAAAAAATGTACAATAACTAGATAAAAAGTAAGAAGTGTTTTTATAGTGTGAGAATAAGTTTAGATTTATTTTTTCCTACGTGTAACCCTTTGGTTTAATATTATTTATTGAGAAGACATTCTATGCCACCTTAAACCACACGGCAGCCTTTGTCAACTCTAAAGGGACTGTGTGTACACGGATGTATTTTAGACACTGTTTCTGCTAAGGGGCTCTCTGTGTCCACACTCTTGAGGATGCTGCACTTCATGTAGCCTTATAAAACCCTTTAAATTTAGTAGCCAGAGCCCTCTAATTTGTTATTATAGGCTACTTGCTATTTTTTTTTCTTGAGGCGGAGTCTTGCTCTGTCGCCCAGGCTGGACTGCAGTGACACAATCTCAGCTCACTGCAACTTCCGCCTCCCAGGTTCAGGCGATTCTCGTGCCTCAGTCTCTTGAGTAGCTGGCGTTTCAGGTGCCTGCCACCAGGCATGGCTAATTTTTGAATTTTTAGCAGAGACGCGGTTTCACTGTGTTGGCCAGGCTGCTCTCAATCTCCTCATCTCAGTTGATCCGCCCACCTCGGCTTCCCGACCTGCTGGGGGAAACTTGATTTTCTATAGCATTATGTTACTGGATATTTCTGTAAAATTTAAAATGAGGGAGGCAGAGAGACAGAGAGAGAGCAAACTCCAAAGTTGGGACTCTGGAATCTTGAGTCATGAGACAAATTATAGATAAAACTACAAAAATCCAGAATTTACATGTGTGGTTTTTGCTGATAAAGTACAATTCTAAGATTGTAAATAATTGCATAATCCTTCCCTGGGAATTTAAATCATTTGAACTGGTTCTGCTGTAATACTAGAAATACAAGCATGAACAATTCTAATGGTTTATTAGTCACAATGACTCTGAAAACACTAATAATACCTATTAGATATTTTGCATATTACACAGGAAGAAGAGTTCGAATCTCAGATAAAAACAATAAAAATTCATGAAAAGTCTTTCATGTTAGCACAGATTTTAGGCATCTCATGTTTGGGAGGTTGGATCTAAGACGTGTTTTGAGTTGGTCATAGTGAAGGACGCGAGGTGTCAATTCTAGTGAGAGCAATTTCCAGGAAGCCATGTTCCGCTCTTGAGCGAGCACCCACTGGGCCTCATGCAAGGTAGAAAAAGCCTGCGTACGTCACCCTCCCATGATGTGGTCAACATGTAAACTGCATGGGCAGGGCGCCAAATAACATCCTGTGCGCTGCTGAGCTGAGCTGGGGCGCGGCCGCCTGTCTGCACCGGCAGCACCATGTCGCTCATGGTCATCATCATGGCGTGTGTTGGTGAGTCCTGGAAGGGAATAGAGGGAGGGAGCGTGGGGATGGAGATCTGGGCCCAGAGGTGGAGATATGGGCCTGGAGGTGGAGTTATGGGCCTGGAGTGGAGATCTGGGCCTGGAGTGGAGATCTGGGCCTAGAGATGGAGTGATGGGCCTAGAAGTGGAGATCTGCGCCTGGAGTGGAGATCTGGGCCTGGAGTGAAGATCTGGGCCTGGAGTGGAGATATGGGCCTGGAGTGGGGATAGGAACCTGGAGTGGAGAGAGGAACCTGGAGGAGAGATAGGAACCTGGAGGGGAGGTAGGAGCCTAGGGTGGAGATATGGGACTGGAGTGGAGATATGGGACTGGAGTGGAGATATGGGCCTGGAGTGGAGTTATGGGCCTGGAGTGAAGTTATGGGCCTGGAGGTGGAGATATGGGCCTGGAGTGGAGATATGAGCCTGGAGTGGAGATATGGTCCTGGAGTGGAGATATGGGCCTGGAGTGGAGATATGGGTCTGCAGTGGAGTTATGGGCCTGGAGTGAAGTTATGGGCCTGGAGGTGGAGATATGGGCCTGGAGTGGAGATATGGGACTAGAGTGGAGATAGGGGCCTGGAGGTGGAGATCTGGGCCTGGAGTGGAGATCTGGGCCTGGAGTGGAGATCTGGGCCTGGAGTGGAGATATGGGCCTGGAGTGGAGATATGGGTCTGCAGTGGAGATATGGGCCTGGAGGTGGAGATATGGGCCTGGAGTGGAGTTATGGGCCTGGAGTGAAGTTATGGGCCTGGAGGTGGAGATATGGGCCTGGAGTGGAGATATGGGACTAGAGTGGAGATAGGGGCCTGGAGGTGGAGATCTGGGCCTGGAGTGGAGATATGGCCCTGGAGTGGAGATATGGGCCTGGAGTGGAGATATGAGCCTGGAGTGGAGATATGGCCCTGGAGTGGAGATATGGGCCTGGAGGTGGAGATATGGGCCTGGAGTGGAGTTATGGGCCTGGAGTGAAGTTATGGGCCTGGAGGTGGAGATATGGGCCTGGAGTGGAGATATGGGACTAGAGTGGAGATACGGGCCTGGAGGTGGAGATCTGGGCCTGGAGTGGAGATATGGCCCTGGAGTGGAGATATGGGCCTGGAGTGGAGATATGAGCCTGGAGTGGAGATATGGCCCTGGAGTGGAGATATGGGCCTGGAGTGGAGATATGAGCCTGGAGTGGAGATATGGCCCTGGAGTGGAGATATGGGCCTGGAGTGGAGATATGGGCCTGGAGTGGAGATATGGGTCTGGAGTGGAGATATGGGCCTGGAGGTGGAGATATGGGCCTGGAGTGGAGATATGGGCCTGGAGGTGGTGATATGGGCCTGGAGTGTAGATATGGGCCGAGTGGAGATATGGTTCTGGAGTGGAGATATGGGCCTGGAGTGGAGATATGGGACTGGAGTGGAGATATAGGCATGGGGTGGAGACATGGGCCGGGAGTGGAGATATGGGACTGGAGTGGAGATACGGGCATGGGGTGGAGATATGTGCCTGGAGGTGGAGATATGGGCGTGGGTTGGAGATATGGGCCTGGAGTGGAGATATGGGCATGGGGTGGAGATATGGGTCTGGAGTGGAGACATGGGCATGGGGTGGAGATATGGGCCTGGTGTGTAGATATGGGCCTGGAGTGGAGATATGGCCCTGGAGTGGAGATATGGGCCTGGAGTGGAGATCTGGGCCTACGGTGAAGATATGGGCCTAGGATGGGGATATGGGCCTGGAATGGAGATATGGGCCTGGGTGTGGAGATATGGGACTGGAGTGGAGATATGGGCCTGATGTGGAGATATGGGCTTGGAGTGGAGATATGATCCTGGAGTGTAGTTATGGGCCTGGAGGTGGAGATCTGGGCCTGGGGTGGAGATATGGGCCTGGAGTGGAGATATGGGACTGGAGAGGAGATATGGGCCTGGAGTGGAGATATGGGCCTGGATTGGAGATATGGGCCTAGGGTGGAGATCTGAGCCTGGATTGGAGATGTGGGCCCGGATTGGCTATATGGGTCTAGGGTGGAAATATCGGCCTGGAGTGGAGATATGGGCCTGGAGTGGAGATATGGGCTTGGGGTGGGGATATGGGCCTGGAGGCTGGGTCTCTGCACAGCCGAGAGCACTGTTCTTGGGTGCAGGTAGGCACTGATGGTGAGTTTCCCTTCGGCCCAGGAAGGGGCTGGCTATCAAGACTCACAGCCCAGTGGGGGCAGCAAGGAAGGCCTTGTTTGCCTGCAAATGGATCTTCCATCATGATCTTTCTTTCCAGGGTTCTTCTTGCTGCAGGGGGCCTGGCCACAGGAGGGTAAGTCCTTCTCCAAACCTTAGGGTGTCATCTCCCCACATAAGAGGATTTTCCTGAAACGGGAGGGAAGTCCTGTCAGGGAGTCTCTTATAAACTAGGAAGAGGGGACCCTGGGGTGCTCGGCCCACAGTTCCGACCTTGCCTCCCTGGCCTCTCAACCCCTTGGCAGAGTCAAGTTGTGTGGGGACCAGGGTTGGACTAGGGTGTTCAAAGCTGGGTTGTGTGGTGGGGAAGTGGTAGGAACAGCAGATCCTCTGAGGACAAAGGTGTTACTCACACACTTCAGCGTTTCCATGATGGTAGGGGCTGCAGTGTGGCTGCTGTCATTCTACCAGAAGAGGTGGGAAACCACAGCCATGGCCCTGACATTCCAAATCCTCTGATGGGGGCTAAGTTTTTTATTTTCATTCAGGCAACTGCTGATATTCCATTCTCAAAGGACATGCCCTCCACTTCATGTCTACCCTGTGTTGTTTTATGTGAGTAATCTTACAGTATTAAAATCTAGTAGGAGTCTCTTACTCAGCACTTGCTCAAAGTTCTCAGCTGACACTTTTGTTGTACGGAGACACCTTGTCTTTGTGGGATGGGTCCTTCCTTTAGCCCTAGGCACCAAGGTGTGATAGCAGCCATAGAAATGTGGAAAGTGGGGAGAATCTTCTGAGCACAGGGAGGGAGGCACAGCTCCACATCCTCCTCTCTAAGGCGGCGCCTCCTTCACCCCAAGGTGGTCAGGACAAGCCCTTGCTTTCTACCTGGCCCAGCCTTGTGGTGCCTCCAGAACATGTGACTCTTCAGTGTCACTCTAATCTTGGGTTTAACAACTTCAGTCTGTACAAGGATGATGGGGTGCCTGTCCCTGAGCTGTACAACAGAATATTCTGGAAAAGCCTTTTCATGGGCCCTGTGACCCCGTCACATGCAGGGACCTATAGATGCCGGGGTTCACACACACACTCCCCCAGTGGGTGGTCGGCACCCAGCAACCCCCTGGTGATTATGGTCACAGGTCAGAGGGCTCCTGTCTGGGATTCTCCTTGTCCCACCTCCTGAATCCCAGAGCTTCTGGTAGGCATGTCCTTGAGGGTCCCATCACGCAGGCCCTAACTGTATTTGGGGTAAAGGGGGATTGAATACAGGGAAATGGGTGCTGTGGTGGGAAGAATAAGTGTCCCCAATGATGACTGCATTCTAATCCCTGGAGTCTGTGACTATTTATGTTATAGGGGAAGGGACTGAAGGGGAAGATGGAGCTCAGGTTGTTGATGAGTTGACCTTGAGATGGGGAGACAGCCTGGACTGTCCCGGTGGGCTCAGTATAATCACAAGGGTCCACATGAAAGGAGGAGGAAGAGGAGAGTGGGGATTAGAGCAGCGTAGTGGGAGACTCCATCAGCTTTGAAGGTGGATGAAGGCCATAAGCCATGAATGCAGGTGGCCTATAGAGGCTGGGAAAGTCAAGTAACTGATTCTCCTGAGTCTCCAGAGGGAACACAGCCCTGCAGATGCCTTGATTTTAGCCCTCGAAAAACAGCGTCCGCTTTCTGTCTCCAGAATCGGAGGGGGTCAGTGTGCTCTCTCCTGCTGCCATGCTTCTGATAATTTTCTACAGCAGCAACAGGAAACCAACACTGGAACCCAGGTCAAGGACAAGTTAAGAAAAGACACAAGGATAGCCAGGCATGGTGGCAGGTGCATGTAATCCTAGCGACTCGGGAGGCTGAGAGCAGGAGAATCGCTTGAACCCAGGAGACAGAGGTTGCAGTGAGCGTAGACCACACCACTTCACTCCAGCCTGGGCGAAGGAGTGAGACTCTGTCTCCAAAATTAATTAATTAATTAAAGAAACCAAACAAAGAGAAGGTTGGCTACACCGAGATCAGCAAGGGTGGGATGATGATGCTACCACCAGGCTCCATCCACATAGGGAGGGGTTGATACTCCTCAAATCAGCACGAGGAGCCAGCCTATGGAAACTGGCACCATGGAGAAGGCACAGACATGGCAAGAGTGGCTCCCAGTCCCCACCAGGAACAGGGTGTGTGGACACTGGTGCCTGCCTTACTGATCAGTTCATACCTCCTGCCAAGGATTCCAATTCGTCCAAAAGAGATTGAACCAGGCTGCTAAGAGCCGGGACGTGCAGCCTATCCTGCTTCCTCTTCCACTCCCACATAGACAGTAAGAAAGACATTAGTGTGAAATAGATACAACAGCCCAAGAGATGAGGCTGAGCCCAGTGGGAAGGGAATCACAGCTACTAGAGACAGAGGGACAGAGAAGAGGGAGGGAGACAGATGGAAGGACCTGCACCAGGAGTTATGGGCACAGAAAAGAACATGAAGACACAGAGAGGAAGCAGAGAGACAGACACCAGCGAAGGGAAGGCTCACTCATTCCAGGTGCCATGGATGGGATGATAAAGAGAGACACCTTCTAAACTCACAACCTCTCTTCCTAGAAGTCCACAGAAAACCTTCCTTCCTGGCCCTCCCAGGTCACCTGGTGAAATCAGAAGAGACAGTCATCCTGCAATGTTGGTCGGATGTCATGTTTGAGCACTTCCTTCTGCACAGAGAGGGGAAGTTTAACAACACTTTGCACCTCATTGGAGAGCACCATGATGGGGTTTCCAAGGCCAACTTCTCCATTGGTCCCATGATGCCTGTCCTTGCAGGAACCTACAGATGCTACGGTTCTGTTACTCACTCCCCCTATCAGTTGTCAGCTCCCAGTGACCCTCTGGACATGGTGATCATAGGTGAGAGTGTCCAGACATTCTTCTCATTGTCATTGGGATGCAGAGTGAATGATCCAGGACTTGGAGACCCAGGTGGTTGTAAGGAAGATGAGCTTGGTATTCTTATGGAGAGAGACTGACTTGGTGAGGTCTGTGCCAACAGAGACAGAGAAACAAGAGACACAAGTACAGACCAGGTGTCATAACAGAGGACAAACACAGGGGCCATACAGGGAGTTAGAAAAGACAGAAAGAGTTAAAGGAGACAGACAGACATGTCCCAGACAGAGGTGTCCTTCCATGCTGACTTTGCTCAGAGACCTGGCACAGGTTAGAAGTTTCATTTCTGTTTTACCTCCACAAAGTGTTCTCTACCAGGAGAACCCAAGGACACCCATATTTCTGACCTGAGTTGGGCCCTGTGGCCTCAGGCCTTGTGGCACCTACAGATGCCATGCTTATTCTGACACCTCTGACTTCCATGCAATGGAGAATAATCGTCCCAAAATATCATGGCCCCAGAACACCAACCCCTGTATGCTGTGTGAACTTGTGGTCTCCAGACTGGATTCTGAGGCTCACATTCCAAATAACCCCACATATCACATATGAGAGGATCACTGAGAAGCACAGAGAGAAATCAGGGACACCAAAAAGCAAAGACATAAACACACAGAGAAAGAGCCAGAGGAAGGAGATTGAGAGACTCACAGACACATAAAGAGAGAGAAGAGGGCAGAGAAGTGGAGAGAATGATGGAAGAGAGCAGAGAAAACCACTAAAATTAGAGTCCTGAGGGCGAGGCACAAGGGCATAGAAAGATGGAGATGTGGGGATGAATTGCAGAGATTCCAAAGAGAACTAGAGAGACCGAGAGGCAGAGCAAGACAGATGATAGATGGATAGATACAGATAGATGATGGATAGATATAGATAGATGATATATAGGTAGATGATAGATAATAGGTTATAGATACATAGATGATGATTGATTGATTCATTAATAGATGATACATAGAGATGATGATGATGAAGGTAGATGGATAGATAATACATAGAGATAGAGAGGAAGACAAAGAGAGAAATAATAGAGAGAGAGAGATGATACATATATATAGATAATAGATGATTGACGGATAGACAATTGATAGATAAATAGATGATATATAGATATAGATGACAGGTAGAGAATTTGTAGATAGGCACCGAATAGATAAATAGATGGATTGATAGATAATAGATAGAAATATGCAGAAAGTTATGAACGGGACACAAACTGAGAAACTCAGAGTTAAAAAAAGTAACATCAAGTCAACCAATCCAAGGAGAGCCAGAGAGAATAAAACAATCCAAAAACGGAAAACATAACTAGAGGTAGGGAAGTGAGGTCAGAGACCTACAGAGACAGAGAAGGTGGAAGGAGGAAATAGACATGAAGAGAGATGGGGTGGAGGGTGAGACAGAGAAAGAGAGCATTAGGCCATAGAGCAGGGGAGTGAGTTCTCAGGTCAGGTGTGAGGGGAGCTGTGACAAGGAAGATCCCCCCTGAGGAAACTGCCCCTTCTCCTTCCAGGTCTATATGAGAAACCTTCTCTCTCAGCCCAGCCGGGCCCCACGGTTCAGGCAGGAGAGAATGTGACCTTGTCCTGCAGCTCCATCTATCCAGGGAAGGGGAGGCCCATGAACGTAGGCTCCCTGCAGTGCGCAGCATCAACGGAACATTCCAGGCCGACTTTCCTCTGGGCCCTGCCACCCACGGAGGGACCTACAGATGCTTCGGCTCTTTCCGTGACGCTCCCTACGAGTGGTCAAACTCGAGTGATCCACTGCTTGTTTCCGTCACAGGTGAGGAAACCCCATATCTGTCCCATGTCCTATGATCCTAGAGCCTTAGCTGAGGAGCTTCCTGCTGATGATGGAGAGAAGCATGGACAGATGCAGAGAGAAGACGCAGCATGCCTGTGAGGGAGGGATCAGGGCGCAGGATGGCACACACAGCACCTCCAAACCCTCCTGCATGGCCTGCATGGAGGCCTCCGATTAGGGCTCCAGGCACCCAGGCAGATGTAGAAAGCGGTCAGGAGAGACCCAGAGCAGGGGAGACTGGGCTCAGTTTGGGGAGATCAGAGGTTCCCTCAGCCCCTCAACCTTACCCATTTCCCAGAAGCCCTTCCTGGCCTCTCACCCACACAGAGATGTCATCACCAGCAACCCCTACATCCTTTTCTTTTTGTTTGAAAAAATATTCATTGAGGTTAAATATACCTATATAGCTTACCACTTTTAACATTTTTTTTTTTTGAGGTGGAGTCTAGCTCTGTCTCCTATGCTGGAATGCAGTGGCACAATCTCAGCTCACTGTAACCTCCGCCTCCTGGGTTCAAGCGATTCTCCTGCCTCAGCCACCTGAGTAGCTGGTACTACAGGCGCCCATCACCACGCCAGGCTACTTTTTGTATTTTTAGTAGAGAGGGGGTTTCACCATGTTGGTCGAGCTGCTCTGGAACTCCTGACCACGTGATCCACCCGCCTCAGGCTCCCAAAGTGCTGGGATTACAGGCATGAGCCACCGCGCCCGGCCACGTTTACCAATTTTAAGTGTAAGGTCTAGTGGTCATAAATACATACATATAAATTTTTTGTTTGTTTGTTTTATCCTCCACCCTTTTCTTCCTGGCCTCTGGTAGCCACCATTCTACTCTCTATCTTCATGAGATCCACCTTTTAGCTCCTGTATATGGGTGAGAAATGGGAATCTTTGTAATGACTTCCAGTTCCATCCATGTGGCTGCAAATATCAGGATGTTATTCTTTCTATGGATGAGTAGTCTCCGCTGTGCGTATGTACTACATTCTCTCTATCCATTCATCCACTGATGGGCAGGTAGGTTGACTCCACATCTTGGCTACTGTGAAGAGTGCTGCACCAATCATACGAGTGCAGATATCACTTCGATACATTGATTTACTTTCCTTTGGATATAAACCCAGTAGTGAAATTGCTGGATACTATGAAAGTTCTCTTTTTAGTTTTTCGTTTGTTGTTTTGTTTTTGTTTTTGAGACAGTTTCCCTCTGTGCCCAGGCTGGAGTACAAGTGATGTGATCTTGGCTCATTGCAACCTCCGCTTCCTGGGTTCAAATGATTTTCCTGCCTCAGCCTCCCTAGTAGCTGGGATTACAGGTGCACGCCACCATGCCGGGATACTTTTTGGTTTTTTTTAGTGTACATGGGGTTTCCCCAGGTTGGCTAGGCTGCTCTCAAACTCATGACCTCAACTGAGGTGCCCGCCTCGGTCTCCCAAAGTGCCGGGATTACAGGCATGATCCACTTCATCCAACCTCTTTTTAGTTCTTTAAAGGACTTCCATACTTTTCTCCGTAATGGCTGTACTAATTTACACTCCTACCAACAGGGTACCAGGGTTCTCCTTTCTCTACCACCTTGCCAGCATTTCTTTTGCCTGTCTTGCAGCTAAAAGCCATTTTATTTTATTTCATTTTATTTTGAGATGGAGTTTCGCTCTTCTCACCCAGGCTGGAGTGCAGTGGTGCGATCTCGGCTCACCGCAACCTCCACCTCCCAGGTTCAAGCGATTCTCCTGCCTCAGCCTCCCGAGTAGCTGGAATTACAGGCACACGCCACCACGCCCGACTAATTTTTGTATTTTTAGTAGAGACAGCGTTTCTCCATGTGGGTCAGACTGGTCTCAAACTCCCGACCTTATGAGATTCGCCCACCTCGGGCTCTCAGAGTTCTAGGATGACAGACGTGAGCCACCTCGCCCGGCCTAAAAGCCATTTTAATGGGGTGAGATGAAAACTCACTTTGATTTTAATTCGCGTTTCTCTGATGATGAGTGATACTGAGCACTTTTTCGTATGTGGGGAAATTTCATGTCTTTTGCTCCTTTTTCAATTAAATCATTTGTTTTATTGAGTTGTTTGAGCTTCTTATACTTCTAGTTATTAATCCCGTCTCAGATGCATAGTTTGCACATATTTGCTCCCAATCTGTGGGTTGTCTCTTCACTTTGTTGGTTTATTTTTAGCGGTGCAGAAGTTGCTTAGTTTGAGGTAATCCCAATGGTCTATTTTTGCTTCGATTACTTGTGTTTTGAAGGTTTAAAACAAAATGTCTTCCTTCAGACAAATGTCCTGGAGCATTTCCCCAATATTTTCTTCTACGTGTTTCACAGGTTCAGGCCTTAGACTCACATCTTTAATCCACTTTCATTTGATTTTTGTGTATGGTGACAGGTAGAGGTGCAGTTTCATTCCTCTGCATGTAGATGTCCAGGTTTCCCTGCACTGTTTATTGAAAAAACTGTCCTTTCCTGATTGTGAGTTCTTGGCACCTTTGTCAAAGTCCATTGGATGGGCTGGGCATGGTGGCTAACACCAGCAACTTCAGCACTTTGGGAGGCCAAGGCTGGTGGATCACCTGAGGACAGGAGTACAAGATTACTCTGGCCGACGTGATGAAACATCGTCTCCACTAAAAATATAAAAATTAGCTGAGCATGGTGGTCAGCACCTGTAATACTACTACTCAGGAGTTTGAGGCAAGAGAATTGATTGAACCCAGGAGGCTGAGGTTGCAGTGAACCGAGATTGCACCTCTGCACTCCAGCCTGGGTGACAGAGCGAGACTCCATCTCAAAAGAAAAAATAAAAAAAATTGGATGTAAATGCATGGATTATATCTGTGTTCTTCATTCTGCTCCGTTGTTCTATGTGCCTTTCTTCATGCCAACATCATGCTGTTTTGCTTACTACAGCTCTGTAACATATTTTGAGATCAGGTAGTGTGATGCTCCTGTTTTCTCTTTATACCTTGAAGTCTCAAGACAGTGGGCGTCACATACAAAAATTATGGAAGAAAGGATCCCTGGACTCCCAGGGCCCAATGTTAGATAACAGAGTGTTGGCCATGAACCAAACTCAAAGATTTCCACTGAGTAGAGGACAGACACCCTCATTTCCTCACCTCTCTCCTGTCTCATGTTCTAGGAAACCCTTCAAATAGTTGGCCTTCACCCACTGAACCAAGCTCCAAAACCGGTGAGTACAGGACCCTCTTATATCCGCTTTTGGAACCCTGGGGAGGTGGAAACCTTGGATTCAGGCGTTGACTCAGCATCTCACAGCTCTGACATTGTACGCCTGTCTTCTACCATCTCCGAACTCCAGATACTCCAACAGCGAAAGGGATCTGGGCCCAACACAGGGCTCAGTGAAATCTCTTCATCTCTCATTTTATGGAGCTGAGACCTCCTACAAGCTAGAAGAATGATTGCCAATCTGACATCCTTCTCAGGAAAAATGCAATGTTTGTTCTGCTTGCATTCCTAACTGGAGGATAAATTCCTGGGGGCTTGAGAGAGGGAAGGGAAGCGAACATCTGATGAGGGCGAGGTGTTTTAGAGAAGTTCCACTTGCCAAGGAATGAGCTCCTGTTGGTCATGAAACAACCCTGGCTGACTCAGCAGAGCAAGAGCCTTGCCGTAACAGAGAACAGAGCTCATGCACGCACACTTTGACTCACTGACTTATTCAGCCACGGCCCCATGCTCAGGTTGTGCAGTGTGGAAGCTTTTCCTATTGTTGCCATAACAAATTTCCACAAGATTCGTGGGTGAAAACAAAACGGTTATTTAATTATCTTACAGTGCTCTAGCTCAAAGCATGAAGTGCATCTCACTGGGCTAAAATCAAGATGACAGCAAGCCTGCCTTCCCTCTGAGGATTCCAGGCAAGAATCTGCTTCTCACTTGTCCCATCTTATAAAGGCTCCCAGTTCCTTGGCTGCTGGTCCCCTTCCTCCTTCCTCAAAACCCACAAAGACTGGTCACATCTCACATGGCATCACTCAGACCCTTCTTCCTTACCACACCTCTTTCTCTGAATGCTGCTCTCCCTTCTTCCTCATCTTTTGAAAACTTGGGGATTCTATTGGGTTCACCAAGATGAAAATCCGTCATAATCTCCCGGAAATCATTCAGGATACCCTTGTTTTAAGTTCAGCTGATTAGCAACCATAATTCCATCTGCAATCTTCATTCCTCCTTTCCATGTAAAATAACATATTCACAAGCTATGGAGGCTAGGACAGGGACATTTTGGGGTGGGACAGCATTCTCCTGCCTTCCACAAATGGTGAACAAGATGCATTTGGCCTCTGCTCTTGGGACACTGATATTGCAGATGGTTAAATGGGAGGACAGAAAATGAATGCACAAGTGGACCAATAAATGAATGATCCATTGGGAAGCATCTGTGCATGAAATCTATTTGTTTGTTTGTTCGTTTGTTTATTGAGACAGAGTCTCCCTCTGTCTTCCAGGCTACAGTGCAGTGTCACGATCTTGGCTCACTGCAACCTGCGTCTCCTGGATCCAAGTGATTCTCCTGCCTCACCCTCTCGAGTAGCTGGGATTACAGGCAACTGCCACCATGCCCGGCTAATTCTTTTTGTATATTTTTTGTAGAGAGGATGTTTCACCATGTTGGCCAAGCTTGTCTGAAACTCCCAACCTCAAGTGATCCAACCATCTCAGCATCCCAAAGTACTGGGATAAAAGACGTGAGCCACTGTGCCCAGCCAGAATTCAAAATCAATAATAGATAATGCTGAGTGTATAATTTTGGGTGACAGAGAAGGTCTCACTAATCAGATATTTGTGACATTAATGAAAAACACGGATTGAACCCCTGAAAGATTGGCGGAAGGATTTTCCACACACAGCTGTCAGCCGTGAAGGCAGAAAGCTGAAAACAATCTGATGTGGAAGGAAGAGGCTCTGCCTGAAATGCTGGGAATGAGATGGGGAGAATGACAAGACAACTGTAGAGAGACGGAGAGCACACTGGGTACACAGGAAACTAAGGAGCAACAAGGAGTGTGTGTTTGACACTCACAGCCGTTGGATTCACCTCGAGGTAACCAGGAATCCCTACATGATTAATAGTGACTGACATGAAAATAAGGGAGGCCCAGGTGCGTAACTGGAATCTAGGAGACTGTGGAAAAGGCAATTGCCACCCCACTGGTGAAATGTGGTGCTGATTTTGACACTAAGTGGATGAAGCAGATGGATATAAGCTATGTTTGTGAGGTAGAATCATTGGCTGGAAAGGCTTGCTGGGTTTGATTTTCCTACTTGTTTAATCCTCGCTTAATTAATTTCTTTCTGAGATTTATTCATCCTACACATAAATCAATACCTGGCAAAGGAGTGACAGATATATGAGGGGTGGTGGAAATGAAGGGACCTATTATAGCATAATATACAAGTCTGTGAACGGTGGCTCACGCCTGTAACCCAGCACTGCAGGAGGCCAAGGCGGGTGGATTCCATGAAGTCAGGAGTTCCAGACCAGCCTGGCCAACATGGTGAAACCCTGTCTCTACTAAAAATACAAAAATTAGCCGAGCATGGTGGTGCATCCCTGTAATCCCAGCTCCTACTCTGGAGGATGAAGCAGGAGAATGACTTCAACCCAGGAGGTGGAGGTTGCAGTGAGTGGAGATTGCATCACTGCACTCCAGCCTGGGTGACACAAGGAGACTCCGTCTCAAAAAATAAAAATAAGAAATGCATAAATATAATAAAACACACACGAATGACAAAGGCACCTGAATTCCAATCATCATTTTTCTATTTCTCTATAATTACTTCTTTGATCCTTTATCTTATCCATTAGGCAATGAGCCTAAAACCTCTTCCCTATTTGGCTTTCTGTGAGCATGAGATCACATAGAAAATGTGAAAGCCCGCTGAATCCTCCAGCACGGATCCTGGAATAGAGAAAGTGCTCTGGTCATCGCAAAAAAAAACTTGCCCACTCACCCAAATCCCCCACCTCACCCCTACTTCCAATCACCTGTGGAGATTCAGATAGACCATGGGGAGGAAACATTAATACTCCTTGGAGTGAGTCCAGATCTTGGAATCAGAGATCAGCGACAGCACTAGCTCCTGTTCCCCTTTCCTACTAATTCACAGGAGGACAGGTGGTATTGAAGCAATAGATGGTGGAGGGGGTGGTCCTTCCCCCAGCCTCTCGGGTAGAACAGCAGCCTAACATGTGTCTCCCGAGATCACAAAGAGCAGCACATTTCACACGGGCTTCAACACTATTTTCTGGCTGTTTGACATAAGAGAATCTTGCTTCGCTATTTTTAATCGTGATTTCACCTTTGTTTCCTTTCCTTGGTGAATGCAATTTGTTTGACTCAAGAATGCTGTGGATGTAGAAATCCTAAAGCACATTCGCTGTGTATCAATCCCAGTGCAGTCTTCCCAGAGAAGACTCTAAACAAATCCTGGACTGCACCTGGGCCTATGCCAATTCCTATCACTCACCGTCACTCCAGGGAGACAGAACACACAGAGAATACGTTACATAGGCAGGTTCATTACTAACAGATAAGCAGTGAGTGACAACAGAAGCCTGCATTTCAATGTGAGCCAGTCCCTCAAGGCTCAGAAAAGCTGCTCGGGACATATGGAGTCACCCCATTTGCAGTGTAACTGGGGGAAGCCAGAAAGCAGCCCAGCCTGGGTTTTGTACCCTGGAGCCACAGGAAGCACTCAGCTAAAGCACTGCATGACGTCCTCCTCCAGGAAGAACAGGAAGACAGCCCAGGCTGTTCTGAGACATTCCTCCTGATCTCAGGATGTTGCTATCTTAGTCCATTTTTGTTGCTCTAAAGGAACACTTGAGCCTGGGTAACTTCTAAAGAAAAGAGATTGGTTTGCCTCACAGTTCTGCAGGCTGTACTGGAAGCATGGCACCAGAATCTATTTCTCGTGATGGCCTCAGGCTGCTCCCACTCTGGCAGAAGGGAAGGAGGGTCTGTCTGTGCAGAGACCGCAGAGATCACACGGCAAGAGAGAGAGTAAGGGGGAGAGGGAGCGATGGAGCTTCCAAGCTCTTTTTAACAACCAGCTCTCCAGGAACTAACAGAGGGGGAACTTGCTAACCCCGTCTCCTTGGGACAGCATTGGTCTGTTCATGATGGATCCACCTCCATGACCCAAACACCTCTGAAGAGGCCCAACCTCCCACAATGGGGGTGAAATTTCAATGTGAGGTTTGAAAGGGTCAAACATCTCAACTAAAGTAGTTGTATCCTCAGCACGTTCTATGGTTACTATGAGAGCTATAATTGAGAAAGCAGGGGAAAGCTAGGTCTCCCGCCATTTGGGTGCTTGTCCTAAAGAGACGTTGTATGTGGTTACCTGCCAATCAAGAAATGCGAGACAATTCATAAAGAGGAACTGCTATGATTAGCTTCTTATTGGTGTCTCCTCTTCTTCCAGGTAACCCCAGACACCTACATGTTCTGATTGGGACCTCAGTGGTCAAAATCCCTTTCACCATCCTCCTCTTCTTTCTCCTTCATCGCTGGTGCTCCGACAAAAAAAGTAAGTCTCACGAAGCAGAGGCCAGAGAGCTCAGGGCCATGTGGGGAAGCAGGATGGGAGCACGCGGATGTGTGTTCCTCACCAGCAGGATGGTCCCTGGCCCAAGACAGGAGCCACAGAGGCAGGACTTTCTAGAGAGAGCACCAGATTCCCTTCCCCTGCCTTCAGCTCACAGACCATTGCCTGATTCTGAACTGTATCCTCACGTCCCCTGCAGCCACTCACATCCAGGAGAAGGTTCCATGACAGGCAGAAAGTGGGAGATAGAATCAATGGGATGGGACCTCAGAGCTATTCATGGGATGGGTCCTTGAACTCAGAGAGATAGAATGTCTGAGTCTGCTGTTGGCAACTGAGGGACCTCAGGCACCTATGGCCTCCCCCTGTTTGTTGGTATCTGCTTATGAAATGAGGACCCAGAAGTGCCCTCCGAGCTCTTTTGTTGACTTCCGTCTTCTACAGATGCTGCTGTAATGGACCAAGAGCCTGCAGGGAACAGAACAGTGAACAGCGAGGTAGGTGCTCCTCGGCCCAGCCTCGTGGCTAGTCTTATTCCCAAAGAGTCCTGAAAAATGTGAGCACCCTCCCTCACTCAGCATTTCCCTCTCTCCAGGATTCTGATGAACAAGACCATCAGGAGGTGTCATACGCATAATTGGATCACTGTGTTTTCACACAGAGAAAAATCACTCGCCCTTCTGAGAGGCCCAAGACACCCCCAACAGATACCAGCATGTACATAGAACTTCCAAATGCTGAGCCCAGATCCAAAGTTGTCTTCTGTCCACGAGCACCACAGTCAGGCCTTGAGGGGATCTTCTAGGGAGACAACAGCCCTGTCTCAAAACCGGGTTGCCAGCTCCCATGTACCAGCAGCTGGAATCTGAAGGCATCAGTCTTCATCTTAGGGCATCGCTCTTCCTCACACCACGAATCTGAACATGCCTCTCTCTTGCTTACAAATGTCTAAGGTCCCCACTGCCTGCTGGAGAGAAAACACACTCCTTTGCTTAGCCCACAATTCTCCATTTCACTTGACCCCTGCCCACCTCTCCAACCTAACTGGCTTACTTCCTAGTCTACCTGAGGCTGCAATCACACTGAGGAACTCACAATTCCAAACATACAAGAGGCTGCCTCTTAACACAGCACTTAGACACGTGCTGTTCCACCTCCCTTCAGACTATCTTTCAGCCTTCTGCCAGCAGTAAAACTTATAAATTTTTTAAATAATTTCAATGTAGTTTTCCCGCCTTCAAATAAACATGTCTGCCCTCATGGTTTCGGTAACGAGACTCTTTTCTTGCCTAAGGCTTCCGGTGTTATCATTACCGTGTCCACATAACCCCATCTGTTCTCCATTGGGTTCTCAGCCCTGGACTCTGAGCTTCTGGAAGCAGAATGGAGCCTGATTTGTCTCTGAGACTCCAATTTCCATCCAAAGATACAGCACATAGGAGGCTCCAAGGATCGTGAATCACATGAACAAGTGATATTCTTACTCTCTGCAGACCTGGAAAGCTGGCAGAGTCATTCCACGATGAAACATTTGTAGAGTCATAGGCCTTGTTAGCCTCATCTCCACGGGGACACATATCAACATATCATCTTTCATAATATAAATATACAGTCGGTCCTCCATATCTGTGGGGTTTACAGGTGTTTATTGAACCAACAATAAATCAAAAATATTTTCAGAAAAAAATCCCCGAAGTTTCAAGAAGCAAAAAACTATGTTGAATCGACACAAATTGAGTGGCGTGTAGGCTGTGTCAGGAATTATAAGTAATCAAGAGATGATTTCATGTATACAGGAGGATGTGCATGGGTTCTATGCAATTACTATGCTATTTTTTTTTTTTGAGACAGTCTCACTCTCTCACCCAGGCTGGAGTGCAGTGGCATGATCTCAGCTCACTGCAACCTCCGCCTCCCAGGTTCAAGCGATTGTCTTCCCTCAGCCTCCCCAGTAGCCTCCCCTAGGATTACAGGCACGTGCCACCATGCACAGATAAATTTTTTTGTGTGTGTATTTTTAGTAGAGATGGGGTTTCAGAATGTTGGACCAGCTGGTCTTGAACTCCTGACCTCGTGATCTACCCAACTCAGCCTCCCAAAGTGCTGGGATTACAGGCGTGAGCCACGGTGCCCAGCTTCGCTATGCCATTTCATGCAAGGGGCTTGAGCATCTGCAGATTTTGGTATCTGAATGGGGATCCTGGAACCAATCACCCAGGAATAGTGAAGGACCACAGTATATAATTTTTATTTGTCAATCTTAAAAATAAAGCATAAAAAGTTTACAACAACAAGATAAAAAATAAGAAGTGTTTTTATAGTGTGAGGATAAGTTTAGATTTATTTTTTCCTACGTGTAACCCTATGGTCCTGTGTTATTTATTGAGAAAATATTCTATTCCACCTTAAACTACATGGCAGCCTTTGTCAACTATAAAGGGACTGTGTATCCACAGATGTATTTTAGACACAGTTTTCTGCCCAGTGGTTCTCTGTATCCCCTCTCATGAGGATGCTGCATTTCATATAAACTTATAGAACCCCTTAAAATTTGGTAACCTGAGTTCTCTGATTTGTTATTATAGGTTATTTAGTTTGCTTTTTTTTTTCTTTCTTGAGACAGACTCTTCCTCGGTCACCCAAGCTGGAGTTCAGTGGCTTGAGCTCAGCTCACTGCAGCCTCCGCCTCCCAGGTTCAAGCAATTCTCGTGCCTCAGGTTTAGTACTAGAAACTCATCAGGAAAATTAGAATGGCTTTTTGTCACAATTACTCTGATAATGTTAATAATACCTCTTAGATATTTTGCACATTACACATGAAGAAAAGTTTGAATCTCAGATAAAAACAAAAATACATCAAAAGTCTTTAATGTAAGCACAGAATTCAATCACCTCATGTGTGAGAGGTTGGATCTGAGACGTCTTTTGAGTCTGGTCATAGTGAAGGATGCAAGGTGGCAATTGTAGTCACAACAATTTCCAGGAAGCCATGTTCCGCTCTTGAGCGAGCACCCACTGGGCCTCATGCAAGGTAGAAAGAGCCTGCGTACGTCACCCTCCCATGATGTGGTCAACATGTAAACTGCATGGGCAGGGCGCCAAATAACATCCTGTGCGCTGCTGAGCTGAGCTGGGGCGCGGCCTCCTGTCTGCACCGGCAGCACCATGTCGCTCACTGTCGTCAGCATGGCGTGCGTTGGTGAGTCCTGGAAGGGAATAGAGGGAGGGAGAGTGGGGATGGAGATCTCGGCCTAGAGGTAAAGATATGGGCCTGGAGTGGAGATATGGGCCTGGAGTGGAGATATGGGCCTGGGTGTGGAGATATGGGCCTGGAGGTGTAAATATGGGCCTGGAGTGGAGATATGGGCCTGGAGGG
Source organism: Homo sapiens (assembly GCF_000001405.40). Classification (NCBI taxonomy): domain Eukaryota; kingdom Metazoa; phylum Chordata; class Mammalia; order Primates; family Hominidae; genus Homo; species Homo sapiens. The sequence continues at coordinate 152,282 of NW_016107307.1, forward strand.
GAGATATGGGCCTGGGTGTGGAGATATGGGCCTGGAGTGGAGATACGGGCCTGGAGTGGAGATATGGGCCTGGGGTGGAGATATGGGCCTGCAGGTGGAGATCTGGGCCTGGAGTGGAGATATGGGCCTGGAGTGGAGATATGGGTCTGATGTGGAGATATGGGCCTGGAGTGGAGATATGGGCCTGGAGTGGAGATATGGGCCTAGAGGGGAGATCTGGGCCTGGAGTGGAGATATGGGTCTGATGTGGAGATATGGGCCTGGAGTGGAGATATGGGTCTGATGTGGAGATATGGGCCTGGAGTGGAGATAGGGGCCTGGAGTGGAGATATGGGCCTGGAGTGGAGATCTGGGCCAGGAAGTGTTGATCTGGGCCTGGAGCCTGGGTCTCTCCACAGCTGAGAGCCCTGTTCTTGGCAGCAGGTAGCAGGGAGGCTAAGTTTACCTTCAGCCCAGCAAGGGCCTGGCTGCCAAGACACACAGTGCAGTGGGGGCAGCAGGGTGCCCTGGTTTGCCTGCAGTTGGATCGTCTATCATGATCTTTCTTTCCAGGGTTCTTCTTGCTGCAGGGGGCCTGGCCACTCATGGGTGAGTCCTTCCCCAAACCTTAGGGTGTCATCTCCCCACATAAGAGGATTTTTCTGAAACAGGAGGGAAGTCCTGTCGGGGAGTCTCTCATAAACTAGGAAGAGGGGACCCTTGGATACTCGGCCCACATTTCTGACCTCGCCCTCCCCGGCCTTTCTTTCCCTTTCCTGAGTCAAGCTCTGTGAAGACTGGGGTGAGACTGGGGTGCTCCAAGCTGGGGTGTGCAGGGAGGAAGTGGTGTCAGCAGCAGAGAAAGAGAGGGATGCAGTGCTAGGAACAGCAGGTCCTCTGAGGACAAAGGTATAACTGACACCCTCCAGCGTTTCCGTGACGGTAGGGACTGCAGTGTGGCTGCGGTCTTTCTACCAGAAGAGGGGGGAAACCACAGCCATGGCCCTGACATTCCAAATCCTCTGAGGGGGCTCAGTTCATGAATTGGCTGATATTCCATTCACATAGGACATGCCCTCCATGCCGTGTCTACTTTGTGTTGTTTTATGTGAGTAATTTTGCAGTATTAAAATCTAGTAAGAGTCACTTATTCAGCACTTGCTCAAAGTTCTCAGCTGACACTTGTTGTAGGGAGACGCCATGTCTATGTGGGGTGGGTCCTTCCTGTAGCCCTGGGCACCCAGGTGTGGTAGGAGCCTTAGAAAGTGGAAATGGGAGAATCTTCTGAGCACAGGGAGGGAGGGGCGGCTCCACATCCTCCTCTCTAAGGCAGTGCCTCCTTCTCCCCCAGGTGGTCAGGACAAACCCTTCCTGTCTGCCCGGCCCAGCACTGTGGTGCCTCGAGGAGGACACGTGGCTCTTCAGTGTCACTATCGTCGTGGGTTTAACAATTTCATGCTGTACAAAGAAGACAGAAGCCACGTTCCCATCTTCCACGGCAGAATATTCCAGGAGAGCTTCATCATGGGCCCTGTGACCCCAGCACATGCAGGGACCTACAGATGTCGGGGTTCACGCCCACACTCCCTCACTGGGTGGTCGGCACCCAGCAACCCCCTGGTGATCATGGTCACAGGTCAGAGGCTTTCTGTCTGGGCTTCTCACTGTCCCACCTCCTGAATCCCAGAGCTTCTGGTGGGGGTGTCCATCAGGGTCCCATCACCCAGGCCCCAACTGTATTTGGGGTCAAGGGGGATTGAATACAGGGGAAATGGGCGCTGTGGTGGGAAGAATCACTGTCGCCAATGATGGCTACATTGTAAACCCTGGAGCCTGTGACTATTTATGTTATAGGGCAGGGGACTGAAGGGGAAGGTGGAGCTCAGGTTGTTGATGAGTTGACCTTGAGATGGGGAGACAGCCTGGACTGTCCTGCTGGGCTCAGTGTAATCACAAGGGTCCGCGTGAGAGGTGGAGGAAGAGGGGAGTGGGGATTAGAGCAGTGTAGTGGGAGGGAGACGCTATCAGCCACTGTGGGCTTTGAAGGTGGAGGAAGGCCACTAGTCACAGAATGCAGGTGGCCTCTAAGGGCTGGAGAAGTCAAGAGAACTGATTCGCTGATTCTCCAGAGGGAACGCAGCCCTGCAGATGCCTTGATTTCAGCACAGGGAGAACTGGATCCAATTTCTGTCCCCAGAAGTGGAAGGGGTCAGTGTGTTCTCTCCTGCTGCCATGTTTGTGATAATTTTCTGCAGCAGCAACAGGAAACCGACACAGGAACCCAGGTCAAGGACAAGCTAGGAAACCAAACAAGGATAGCCAGGTGTGGTGGTGGGCACGAGTAATCCAACGACTGGGGAGGCTGAGGCAAGATAATCACTTGAACCGGGGAGGCAGAGGTTGCAGTGAGCCAAGACAACACCACTGCACTCCAGCCTGGGTGAAAAAGTGACTGTCTCAAAAATAAATTAATTAATCAATTAATTAAAGAAACCAAACAAGGAGAAGGTTGGCTACCGTGGGATCAGCAAGGGTGGGATGCTGATGCCACCACCAGGCTCCATCCACATAGGAAGGGGTTGATGCTCCTGGAACCAGCACCAGGGACCACCCTATGGAAGCTGGGGCCATGGAGAAGGCACAGACATGGCAGGAGAGGCTCCCAATCCCCATCAGGAACAGGGTGTGTGGACACTGATGTCTGCCTTACTGATGAGTTGATACCTCTGCCAGAGACTCCAATTTGTTCAAAAGAGATTGATTCAGGCTGCTGAGAGCCTGGACATGCAGCCTGTCCTCTTCCACCCCCACATAGACAGCAGGAAAGAGACTAGTGGGAAAGAGATACAACAGCCCAAGAGATGAGGCTCTCTTCACAGTGGGAAGGGAGTCAGGGGCTACTGGAGACAGAGGGACAGAGAAGAGGGAGGAAGACAAATGGAGGGACCTGCACCAGGGGATATGGGCACAGAAAAGACACGGAGACACAGAGAGGGAGGAGAGAGACAGACCTCTGGGAGGGGAACCCTCACTCATTCCAGGTGCCATGGATGGGATGATAAAGAGAGATGCCTTCTAAACTCACAACTTCTCTTTCTAGGAAACCACAGAAAACCTTCCCTCCTGGCCCACCCAGGGCCCCTGCTGAAATCAGGAGAGACAGTCATCCTGCAATGTTGGTCAGATGTCATGTTTGAGCACTTCTTTCTGCACAGAGAGGGGATCTCTGAGGACCCCTCACGCCTCGTTGGACAGATCCATGATGGGGTCTCCAAGGCCAACTTCTCCATCGGTCCCTTGATGCCTGTCCTTGCAGGAACCTACAGATGTTATGGTTCTGTTCCTCACTCCCCCTATCAGTTGTCAGCTCCCAGTGACCCCCTGGACATCGTGATCACAGGTGAGAGTGTCCAGACATTCTTCTCATTGTCATTGGGACACAGAGTGAATGATCCAGGACTTGGAACCCCCAGGTGGTCATGAGGAAGATAAGCGTGGGATTCTTATGGAGAGAGACTGACTCGGTGAGGTCTGTACCAACAGAGACAGGGAAACAGGAGACATAAGTACAGACCAGGTGTCATAACAGAGGACAGACACAGGGGCCATACGGGGAAGTAGAAAAGAGAGAAAGAGGTAAAGGAGACACTCAGACAGACAGACATGTGCCAGAGAGAAGTGTCCTTCCATGCTGACTTTGCTCAGAGACCTGGCACAGGTTAGAAGTTTCATTTCTGTTTTGTCTCCACAAAGTGCTTCTACGAGGAGAACCCAAGGACACCCATATTTCTGACCTGAGTTGGGCCCTGTGGCCTCAGGCCTTGTGGCATCTACAGATGCCATGTTTATTCTGACACCTCTGCCTTCCATGCAGTGGAGCCATAATTATCCCAGGATATCATGGCCCCAGAACACCAACCCCTAAATACTGTGTGTACTTGGTGTCCCCAGACTAGATTCTGAGGCTCATATTCCAAATAATCCTACATATAATAGGATCACTGAGAGACACAGAGATAAATCAGGGACTTCAAAAAGCAAAGGCATAAACACACAGAGAATGAGCCAGAGGAAGGGGATTGAGAGACTCACAGACACACAAAAAGAAAGAAAAGAGGGCAGAGGAGTGGAGAGAATGCTGGAAGGGAGGAGAGAAAAGCCCCAAAATCAGAACCCTGAGGGAGGGGCACAAAGACAGAGAAAGATAAAGATGTGGGGATGGATTGCAGAGATTCCAAATAGAACTAGAGAGACTGAGAGGCAGAGAAAGACAAGGAGATGGAGAGAGACAGATGATAGATGGATAGATAGATATAGATAGATGATAAATAGGTAGATGATAGATAATGGATAGGTTATAGATACATAGATGATGATTGATAGATGATACATAGAGATGATGATGATGATGATGATGAAGATAGATAGAAGACACATATATAAATATATAGATACATAGATGATACATAGAGACTGACAGGCAGACAGAGAGGTAATAGAGAGAGAGAGAGATGATACATAGATACAGATAATACATAGATGATTGATGGATAGACAGATAGACAATTGATAGATAAATGATACATAGATATAGATGACAGATAATTTGTAGATAGACACAAAATAGATAGATAGATAATAGATAGAAATATGCAGAAAGTTATGAACAAGACAGAAAGTGAGAGACTCAGAATTATAGAAAAAGGAAGATCAAGTCAACCAATCCAAGGAGAGTCAGAGAGAATAAAACAATCCAAAAAGGGAAAGCATACCCAGGGGTGGGGAAGTGAGGTCAGAGACCTAGAGAGACAGAGAAGGCGGAAGGAGGAAATAGACATGAAGAGAGTTGGGGTGGAGGGTGAGAGAGAGAGAGAGCATTAGGTCATAGAGCAGGGGAGTGAGTTCTCAGCTCAGGTATGAGGGGAGCTGTGACAAGGAAGAACCTCCCTGAGGAAACTGCCTCTTCTCCTTCCAGGTCTATATGAGAAACCTTCTCTCTCAGCCCAGCCGGGCCCCACGGTTCAGGCAGGAGAGAACGTGACCTTGTCCTGTAGCTCCTGGAGCTCCTATGACATCTACCATCTGTCCAGGGAAGGGGAGGCCCATGAACGTAGGCTCCGTGCAGTGCCCAAGGTCAACAGAACATTCCAGGCAGACTTTCCTCTGGGCCCTGCCACCCACGGAGGGACCTACAGATGCTTCGGCTCTTTCCGTGCCCTGCCCTGCGTGTGGTCAAACTCAAGTGACCCACTGCTTGTTTCTGTCACAGGTGAGGAAAACCCGTGTCTGTCCCATGTCTTATGATCCTAGAGCCATAGCTGAGGAGCTTCCTGCCGATGATGGGGAGAAGCATGGACAGATGCAGAGAGAACACGAAGACTGGGTGTGAGGGGGGGTCAGGGTGCAGGATGGCAGACAGGGCACCTCCAAACCCTCTTGCATGGCCTGCATGGAGGCCCATGGTCAGGGCTCCAGGCACCCAGGCAGATGGAGAAAGCGGTCAGGACAGACCCAGAGAAGGGGAGACTGGGCTCAGTTTGGGGAGATCAGAGGTTCCCTCAGCCCCTCAACCTTACCCATTTCCCAGAAGCCCATCCTGGCCTCTCACCCACACAGAGAGATGTCATCACCAGCAACCCCTACACTCTTTTCTTTTCATTTTCAAAAATATTTATTGAGGTTAAATGTAACTATATAATTTACCAACTTTACCATTTTTAAAAGTAAAATCTAGTGGTCATAAATACCTTTATATGCTGGGTGTGGTGGTTCACGGTTGTAATCTTGGCGCTTTGAGAGGCCAAGAAAGGTGGATCATTTAAGATCAGGGACTCGAGATCAGCCTGGCCAACATGCGGGAAATTCATCTTTACTAAACAGACAAGAAAAATTAGCCAAGCATGCCGGCATGCACCTGTAGTCCTAGCTACTTGGGAGGCTGAGGCAGGAGAAGCACTTAAAGCCAGGAGGCAGAGGTTGCACTGAGCCGAGATCATGCCACTGCACTGCAGCCTGGGAGACAGAGAGAGACTCTGTTTCTAAATAAATAAATACATCTATATTCTTTTTTTTGTTACCTTCCACCCTTCCCTTCCTGGCCTCTGGTATCCACCATTCTATTCTCTACCTTCATGAGATCCACCTTTTATCTCCTGCATGTGGTGAGAAATGGGAATCTTTGTAATGACCTCCAGTTCCATCCATGTGGCTGCAAATGACAGGATGTTATTGTTTCTATGGATGAGTAGTCTCCACCGTGTGTGTGTACTACAGTTCTCTATCCATTCACCCACTGATAGGCAGGTAGGTTGACTCCACATCTTGGCTACTGTGAACAGTGCTGGAACAGTCATATGAGTGCAGATATCACTTCGATACACTGATGTCCTTTCCTTTGGATATAAACCCAGTAGTGAAATTGCTGGACACTATGAAAGTTCTCTTTTTTTTTTTTTCTTTTTTGAGAAAGAGTTTCCCTCCTTAGTCCAAGCTGGAGTCAAAGTGGTGCGATCTTGGCTCATTGCAACCTCTGCTTCCTAGGTTCAAACGATTGTCCTGACTCAGCCTCCCTAATAGCTGTGATTACAGGTGCACGCCACCATGCCTGACTAATTCTTGTATTTTTTAGCACAGACGGGATATCCCAATTTTGGGCAGGCTGCTCTCAAACTCCTGACCTCAAGTGAGGTGCCTGCCTCGGTTTCCCAAAGTGCTGAAGTTACAGGCATAAGCCACTATGCCCAGCCTCCTTTTAGTTTTTTAAAGATTTTCCATACTTTTCTCCATAATAGTTGTACTAATTTACATTCCTACCAACAGGGTACCAGGGTTCTCCTTTCTCTACCATCTTGCCAGCATTTGTTTTGCCTGTCTTGCAGATAAAAGCCATTTTACTTTACTTTATTTATTTATTTATTTATGTTGAGATGGAGTTTCACTCATAGTCGCCCAGGCTGGAGTGCAAGGGTGTGATCTCGGCTCACTGCAACCTCTGCCTCCCGCGTTCAACTGATTCTCCTGCCTCAGCCTCCAAAGTAGCTGGGATTACAGGCATGTGCCACCACGCCTAGCTAATTTTTGTATGTTTAGTAGAGAGGGAGTTTCTCCATGTTGGTCAGGCTGGTCTCCCGACCTCAGGTGATCCGCCCACCTCCGCCTCCCAAAGTGCTGGAATTACAGGCGTGAGCCACCGGCCTAAAAGGCATTTTAATGGGATGAGATGAAAACTCATCGCGATTGTAATTTACATTTCTGTGATGATGAGTGATGCTGAGCACTTTTTCATATACGTGATCGCCATTTCTATGTTTTGTTTGTGGAGAAATGTCTCCTCATGTCTTTTGCTCGTTTTTTAATTAAATTGTTTTATTGAGTTGTTTGAGCTTCTTATATTTCCAGTTATTAATCCCATCTCAGATGAATAGTTTGCAAATATTTGCTCCTATTTTGTGGGTTGTCTCTTCACTTTGTTGGTTTATCTTTGGTGGTGCAGAAGTTGCTTGGTTTGATGTAATCCTAATGGTCTATTTTTTGCTTTGATTACTTGTGTTTTGAAGGTTTTAAACAAAATGTCTTTCGTCAGACAAATGTCTTCCCCATTATTTTCTTCTACATGTTTCATAGGTTCAGGCCTTAGACTCATGTTTTTAATCCATTTTCATTTGATTTTTGTGTAAGGTGACAGGTATAGATGCAGTTTTATTCCTCTGCATGTAGATATCCAGTTTTCCCCACACCATTTATTGAAGACTGTCCTTTCCTGATTGTAAGTTCTCGGCACCTTTGTCAAAGTCCATTAAATGGGCTGGGTATGGTGGCTCACACCTGCAATTCCAGCACTTTGGGAGGCCGAGGCGGGTGGATCACCTAAAGCCAGGAGTTCAAGACCAGGCTGGCCAACAGAGTGAAACCTCGTCTCTACTAAAAATACAAAAATTAGCTGAGCATGGTGATCAGTGCCTGTAATACCACTACTCAGGAGTTTGAAGCAAGAGAATTTCTTGAATCCAGGAAGTGGAGGTTGCATTGAGCTGAGATTGCACCTCTACACTCCAGCCTGCATGACAGAGCAAGATTCTATCACACACACACAAAAGAAAGCCATTGGATGTAAATGCATGGATTATATCTGTGTTCTCCATTCTGTTCCATTTTTTATGTGCCTTTCTTTATGCCAATGTCATGCTGTTTTGCTTACTACAGCTCTGTAACATATTTCTAAGTCAGGTAGTGTGATGCTCCTGTTTTCTCTTTATACCTTCAAGTCTCAAGACAGTGGGCATCGCACACAAAAATTATGGAGAAAAGGATCCCAAGACTCCCAGGGTCCAACATTAGATAACAGAGTGTTGGCCATGAACCAACCTCAAAGATTTCCATTGAGTAGAGGACAAGCACCCTCATTTCCTCACATCTCTCCTGTCCCGTGTTCTAGGAAACCCTTCAAGTAGTTGGCCTTCACCCACAGAACCAAGCTCCAAATCTGGTGAGTAAAGGACCCCTCTTATCTCTGCTTTTGGAAACCTGGGGAGGTGGAAGCCTTGGATGCAAGTGTTGGCTCAAACCTCCCAGCTCTGTGAATGAGGGCCTGTCTTCCACCATCTCTGAACTCCAGACACTCCAACAGTGAAAGGGATCTAGGGCCACCAAAGGGCTCAGCGAAGTCTCTTTACCTTTAATTTCCTGCAGGTGAGACCTCCTACAAGCTAGAAGAATAATTGCCAATCTGACATCCTTCTCAGGAAAAATGCAGTGTTTTTTCTGCCTGCATTCCTAACTGGAGGATAAATTCCCGGGGGCTTGAGAGAGGGAAGGGAAGGGAACATCTGATGAGGGTGGGTGTTTTAGAGAAGTTCCACTTGCCAAGGAATGAATTACTGTTGGTCATCAGGCAACCCTGGCTGACTCAGCAGAGCAAGAGCCTTGCCGTAACAGAGAACAGAGCTCATGCACGCACACTTCGACTCAGTGACTCATTCAGCCACAGCCCCATGCTCAGGCTGTGCAGTGTGGAAGCTTTTCCTATTGTTGCCATAACAAATTTCCACAAGATTCGTGTGTGAAAACAAAACGGTTATTTAATTATCTTACAGTGCTGTAGCTCAAAGCATGACGTGCATGTCACTGGGCTAAAATCAAGGTGACAGCAAGGCTGCCTTCCCTCTGAGGGTTCCAGGCAAGAATCTGCTTCTCACTTTTCTCAGCTTCTAGAGGCTCCCATGTTCCTTGGCTCCTGGTACCCTTCCTCCTTCCTCAAAGCCCACAAAGACTGGTCACATCTCACATGGCATCACTCAGACCCTTCTTCCTTACCACACCTCTTTCTCTGAATGCTGCTCTCCCTTCTTGCCCTTCTTTTGAAAACTTGGGGATTCTATTGGGTTCACCAAGATGAAAATCCATCATAATCTCCCGGAAATCATCCAGGATACCCTCCTTTTAAGTTCAGCTGACTAGCAACCATAATTCCATCTGCAATCTTCATTCCTCCTTTCATGTAAAATAACATATTCACAAGCTATGGAGGCTAGGACATGGACATTTTTGGGGTGGGACAACATTCTCCTGCCTTCCACAAACAGTGAACAAGATGCATTTGGCCTCTGTTCTTGGGACACTGATCTTGCAGATGGTTAAATGGGAGGGCAGAAAATGTAGGCACAAGGGGACCAATAAATGAATGATCTATTGAGAAGCATCTGTGCATGAAATCTATTTATTTATGTATTTACCTACTTGTTTATTGAGACGGAGCCTTGCTCTGTCGTCCAGGCTAGAGTGCGGTGGCATGATCTCGGCTCACTGCAACCTCCACCTCCTGGGCTGAACTGATCTCCTCCCTCAGCCTCTCCAGTAGCTGGGATTACAGACCACAACCACCACGCCCGGCTAACTCTTTTTGCATATTTTCTGTAGAGAGGATGTTTCACCATGTTGGCCAGGCTGGTCTCAAATTCCCAACCTCAGGTGATCCAATAGCCTCTGCCTCCCAACACGCTGGGATAAGAGGCATGAGCCACGGGGCCAAGCCAAATTTTCAAATCAATAATAGATAATGCTGAGAGTATTATTTCAGGTGACAGAGAAGTTCTCACTAATCAGATATTTGTGACATTAATGAAAAACACGGATTGAACCCCTGAAAGATTGGCGGAAGGATTTTGCACACACAGCTGTCAGCCGTGAAGGCACAAAGGTGAAAACAATCTGATGTGGAAGGAAGAGGCTCTGCCTGAAATGCTGGGAATGAGGTGGGGAGAATGACAAGATGACTGTAGAGAGACGGAGAGCACACTGGGTACACAGGAAACTAAGGAGCAACAAGGAGCGTGTGTTTGACACTCACAGCCATTGGATTCACCTCGAGGTAACCAGGAATCCCTACATGATTAATATGACTGACATGAAAATAAGGGAGGCTCAGTTGCATAACTGGAATCTAGGAGACCGTGGAAAAGGCAATTGCCGCCCCACTGGTGAAATGTGGTGCTGATTTAGACACTAAATGAATGAAGTAGATGGATATAAGATATGTTTGTGAGGTAGAATCATTGGCTGGAAAGGCTTGCTGGGTTTAATTTTTCCTGGTAGTTTAATCCTCGCTTCACTAACTTATTTCTGAGATTTATTTCTCCTGCATCTAAATCAATACCTGGCAGAGGAGGGAGAGCTAGATGAGGGGTGGTGCAAATGAAGGGACCTAGTATAGCATAATATACAAGGCTGTGAACGGTGGCTCACGCCTATAACCCAGCACTTCAGGAGGCCAACGCGGGTGGATCACATGAAGTCAGGAGTTCGAGACCAGCCTGGCCAACATGGAGAAACCCTATCTCTACTAAAAATACAAAAATTAAACAGGCATGATGGTGGTGCATGACTGTAATCCCAGCTACTCTGGAGGAGGAAGCAGGAGAATGACTTCAGCCCTGGAGGCAGAGGTTGCAGTGAGTGGAGATCGCATCACTGCACACCAGCCTGGGCTACACAGGGATACTCTGTCTCAAAAAATAAAAATAAAAAATACATAAATATAATAATATACACAAATGATGCAGGCACCTGAATTCCAATCATCATTTTTCTATTCCTCTATAATTACTTCTTTGATCCTTTATCTTATCCATTAGAAAATCAGCCTAAAACCTCTTCCATATTTGGCTTTCTGTGAACATGAGATCATATGGAAAATATGAAAGCCCCCTGAACCCACCAGCACAGGCCCTGAAATAGGGAAAGTGCTCTGTTCATCACAAGAAACTTTCCCCCTCACCCAAATCCCCCACCTCACCCCTACTTCCAATCACCTGTGGAGATACAGATAGATCATGGGGAGGTAAACGCTAATACTCCTTGGAGTGAGTTCAGATCTTGGAATCAGAGATCAGCACCAGCACTAGCTCCTGCTCCCCTTTCCTACTAATTCACAGGAGGACAGGTGGTTTTGAAGCAATAGATGGTGGAGGGGGTGGTCTTTCCCCCAGCCTCTCAGGTGGAACAGCAGCCTAACATGTGTCTCGCGAGATCACAAAGAGTAGCACGTTTCACATGGGCTTCATCATTATTTCCTGGCTGTTTGACATAAGAGAATTCTACTTTGCTTTTTTGATCTTGATTTCACTTTTGTGTCCTTTTCTTGGAGAATGTAATTTGAGTCAAGAGGGTTGTGGATGTAGAAACTGTAAAGCACATTCACTGTGTATCAATCCCAGTCCAGTCTTTCCAGAGAAGACTCTAAACACCTGCTGTACTGCACCTGGGCCTATGCCAATTTCTATCACTCACCGTCACTCCAGGGAGACAGAACACACAGAGAATACGTTACATAGGCAGGTTCATTACTAACAGATAAGCAGCGAGTGACAACAGAAGCCTACATTTCAACGTGAGCCAGTCCCTCAAGGCTCAGAAAAGCTGCTCGGGACATATGGAGTCACCTCATTTGCAGTGTATCTGGGGGAAGCCAGAAAATAGCCCAGCCTGGGTTTTGTACCCTGAAGCCACAGGAAGCACTCAGCTAAAGCACTGCATGACGTCCTCCTCCAGGAAGAACAGGAAGACAGCACAGGCTGTTCTGAGACGTTCCTCCTGATCTCAGGACGTTGCTGTCTTAGTCCATTTTTGTTGCTATAAAAGAACACTTGAGCCTGGGTTACTTCTTTTTTTTTTTTTTTTTTTTTTTGTATAGTGCTTCTGATGAGCTTTTTTTTAAAATTTTTATTATTATTATACTTTAAGTTTTAGGGTACATGTGCACAATGTGCAGGTTAGTTACATATGTATACATGTGCCATGCTGGTGTGCTGCACCCATCAACTCGTCATTTAGCATTAGGTATATCTCCTAATGCTATCCCTCCCCCCTCCCCCCACCCCACAACAGTCCCCAGAGTGTGATGTTCCCCTTCCTGTGTCCATGTGTTCTCATTGTTCAATTCCCACCTATAAGTGAGAACATGCGGTGTTTGGATTTTTGTCCTTGTGATAGTTTACTGAGAATGATGATTTCCAATTTCATCCATGTCCCTGCAAAGGACATGAACTCATCATTTTTTATGGCTGCATAGTATTCCATGGTGTATATGTGCCACATTTTCTTCATCCAGTCTATCATTGTTGGACATTTGGGTTGGTTCCAAGTCTTTGCTATTGTGAATAGTGCCACAATAAACATACGTGTCCATGTGTCTTTATAGCAGCATGATTTATAGTCCTTTGGGTTTATACCCAGTAATGGGATGGCTGGGTCAAATGGTATTTCAAGCTCTAGATCCCTGAGGAATCGCCACACTGACTTCCACAATGGTTGAACTAGTTTACAGTCCCACCAACAGTGTAAAAGTGTTCCTATTTCTCCACATCCTCTCCAGCACCTGTTGTTTCCCGACTTTTTAATGATCGCCATTCTAACTGGTGTGAGATGGTATCTCATTGTGGTTTTGATTTGCATTTCTCTGATGGCCAGTCATGGTGAGCATTTTTTCATGTGTTTTTTGGCTGCATAAATGTCTTCTTTTGAGAAGTGTCTGTTCATGTCCTTTGCCCACTTTTTGATAGGATTGTTTGTTTTTTTCTTGTAAATTTGTTTGAGTTCATTGTAGATTCTGGATATTAGCCCTTTGTCAGATGAGTAGGTTGCGAAAATTTTCTCCCATTTTGTAGGTTGTCTGTTCACTCTGATGGTAGTTTCTTTTGCTGTGCAGAAGCTCTTTAGTTTAATTAGATCCCGTTTGTCAATTTTGGCTTTTGTTGCCGTTGCTTTTGGTGTTTTAGACATGAAGTCCTTGTCCATGCCTATGTCCTGAATGGTAATGCCTAGGTTTTCTTCTAGGGTTTTTATGGTTTTAGGTCTAACGTTTAAGTCTTTAATCCATCTCAAATTAATTTTTGTATAAGGTGTAAGGAAGGGATCCAGTTTCAGCTTTCTACCTATGGCTAGCCAGTTTTCCCAGCACCATTTATTAAATAGGGAATCCTTTCCCCATTGCTTGTTTTTCTCAGGTTTGTCAAAGATCACATAGTTGTAGATATGTGGCATTATTTCTGAGGGCTCTATTCTGTTCCATTGATCTATATCTCTGTTTTGGTACCAGTACCATGCTGTTTTGGTTACTGTAGCCTTGTAGTATAGTTTGAAGTCAGGCAGCATGATGCCTCCAGCTTTGTTCTTTTGGCTTAGGATTGACTTGGCAATGCAGGCTCTTTTTTGATTCCATATGAACTTTAAGGTAGTTTTTTCCAATTCTGTGAAGAAAGTCATTGGTAGCTTGATGGGGATGGCATTGAATCTATAAATTACCTTGGGCAGTATGGCCATTTTCACGATCTTGATTCTTCCTACCCATGAGCATGGAATGTTCTTCCATTTGTTTGTATCCTCTTTTATTTCATTGAGCAGTGGTTTGTAGTTCTCCTTGAAGAGGTCCTTCATATCCCTTGTAAGTTGGATTCCTAGGTATTTTATTCTCTTTGAAGCAATTGTGAATGGGAGTTCACTCATGATTTGGCTCTCTGTTTGTCTGTTATTGGTGTATAAGAATGCTTGTGATTTTTGTACATTGATTCTGTATCCTGAGACTTTGTAGAAGCTGCTTATCAGCTTAAGGAGATTTTGGGCTGAGACAATGGGGTTTTCTATATATACAATCATGTCATCTGCAAACAGGGACAATTTGACTTCCTCTTTTCCTAATTGAATACCCTTTATTTCCTTCTCCTGCCTAATTGCCCTGGCCAGAACTTCCAACACTATGTTGAATAGGAGTGGTGAAAGAGGGCATCCCTGTCTTGTGCCAGTTTTCAAAGGGAATGCTTCCAGTTTTTGCCCATTCAGTATGATACTGGCTGTGGGTTTGTTATAGATGGCTCTTATTATTTTGAGATACGTCCCATCAATGCCTAATTTATTGAGAGTTTTTAGCATGAAGCGTTGTTGAATTTTGTCAAAGGCCTTTT